>NT_187599.1:0-180703 GCF_000001405.40 Homo sapiens
ATTGCTGTCAGACCTGACTTATAAGAAATGTTAAATAAAGTCCTTTATGCAGAAGAAAAATAATAGCAAATGGAAATCTAGATTTGTTCAAATGAATGAAGAGCACTAGGAGCGGTAAACTTGTGGGTTTAATCATGAATGCACATAAAATATAGTCAAGTTCTTTAACACATAAATAATTGACTAAAGGAAATGTGATAACAACATTGTGGGGCTTATCACATGTATAGAAAGAAAATGTATAATTCAAGAACACAGACCCTGGGACAAGGGAACTAGATTATTACTGTTATAGGAATTTTATGCTACACATGAAGTGGTGTAATATTACTTATAGGTAGAACATAAGCTAAAGATGTATCCTATAAAACCTAAAGCACCCACACACAAAAATGATGTATAGCCAATGAGCCCACAAAGAAGATAAAACTAAATCATAATAAATACTCAGTTAATCCAAAAGAAGTTGGAAAAAGAGGAAAGAAAAAAAAGCAGATGAGGGAAAAAAAGCAAGTAGAAAACAACAAAGTGGAAGATTTAAACCCATCACATCGATAATCACATTAAAACTAAATACTATACTTGAAAGGCAAAGATTGTCTTATTGGGACAAAAAGGCAAAAGCAACTATATGCTAACTACCAGAAACCCACTTTAACTGTAAAACTATAAACAGATTAAGTGTAAAAGGCTAGGAAAAAATGCACCATGCTAATACTGATCAAAAGAAAGCTGGAATGACTATATTAATCACAATATAAGTAAATTTCCTGGCAAATAATATCAGTGATAGGTAATTTCATAACAGAGGGTCAATGTATCAAGAGGGCATAATAATCCTAAATTGTATCCACATAATAACATATATTCAAAATACATGGAGCAAAAACTGATCACCCTGCAAGTAGAAATAAATAAATTGAGAATTAGAGGTGTCAACTCCCTATTCTCAGTAATTATTAGAAAAATGTAGATAGAAAATGGGCAAAAAAAAAGGAGGCTTGAACAACACCATCAATCACCTTGACCTAACAGACATTTATAGAGTCCTCCACCCAATAACAGCAGAATACACAATCTTTTCAAGGACACACAGAACATTTACCAAGATTGACCATATTCTAGGCCATAAAACAAGTCTCAACAAATGGACTAGATTCATATCAAATTCTCAGCCAAAATGGAATTAAATTAGAAATCAACAACAGAAAGATATCTAGAAATTCAAAATATTTGGCAACTGAACAGCACACACCTCTAAATAACCCATGACTTGATGTGTTAGTCCTTTCTCACGCTGCTATGAAGAAATACCCGTGACTGGGTAATTTATAAAGAGAAGAGGTTTAATTGACTCACAGTTTTGTACGGTTGGGGAGGCCTCAGGAAACTTACAGTCACGGTGGAAGACACCTCTTCACAGGGCGGCAGGAGAGAGAATGAGTGTCAGCAGGAGAAATGCCAGATCCTTGTAAAACCATCAGATTGCGGAAACTTCCGAGCTCTACTCTGCGTCTGCAGCCGCCGCCGTCCTGCAGAGGAGCACGCAACCCAGGCGAGGCCGGAGGACGTGTCCATAGAATGCCCAGGGGTGACGAGCTGTCCTGAGCCCCTCTGCTGCAGCCACCTGCCTGTCCCATACACCCTGCCCACCACGGAGTCCAGAGGGAAATCGGCCAGCAGCCCCAAGCCCGACACCAAGGTGACCCAGGCCACCACCGAGGCCAAGGTACCCCCGGCAGCCGATGGGAAATCCCCCTTGACCGAGCCCTGGAAGAAGGAAGCCCCGGCAGAGAAGCAGCAGCCACTGGCAGCCCCCACCATGGCGCCTGCCAAGAAGACCCCGGCCAAGGCAAACCCCGTCCTTCTCAACAACCACGGCAACCTGAAGCCAGCCCCCACAGCCCCCATGGTGCCCAGCAGTCCTGATGCAACCCCGGAGCCCAAGGGTCCTGGGGACGGGGCAGAGGAGGACGAGGCTGCCAGCGGGGGCCTAGGGGTCGAGGTCCCTGTTCCTGCGAGAACTTGAACCCCCTGCTGGTGGCTGGAGATGTGGCTGTGGCAGCCATAGCCCTGATTCTCGGTGGGGCCTTCCTGGCCCAGAAAAAATAATACCTTCGGGCCAGGCGGGGGTCACAGAGCCACTTCCTGTGCAGATCTCAGGAAGCCAGCGCATGCAGAATTCACCCTTATCTACGTGTACACACGCACATTCATTACACATCTACATATGCCCCCAACACACGCACACAGTGGAGAAGATGCTCGAGCCCACCCTTGCTGATCCAGGACTTCCCCAACCTCCAGGGCAGAAGGAACCTAGGCTCCGGGGCCCACAGCGCCGGACTGGGGGAGAGGGTCTAGCTGGGGGACTGCAAGAAAGGAATGGACCCTGTGTGTGGCCCTCCAACGGCTGGGTGATCCTGGGCCCCCAGGGCTGGTCTCTGAGTGTAGGTGGGGGTGCTGGGATGGGTTCTGCCTGGGCCCAGCCCTCTTGGGGAGATTAAAGGGCGGACATTAATTGTTGAAAAAATAAAACACACCAAAAAAACGTCAGATTGCATGAGACTCACTTATTATCAAAAGAACACCATGGGGGGAACCACCCCCATAATTAAATTACCTCCACCTGGTCCCACCCTTGACACCTGGAGACTATGGAAACTGCAATTCAAGGCGAGATTTGGGTGGGGACACAGAGCCAAACCATATCTCTCAAATAAGAAATCAAAAGAGAAATTGGAAAGTTATTTGAGCTGAAAATGAAAACACAACATACCAAAATCAGGGAGATGCAGCTAATGTATGCTTGGAGGCAAATTTAAGCACTAAGAACCTATGTTATAACAAAAAAGAAAGGTCTCAAATCAGTGACTTACATTTTCACTTAAGAAACTGAAAAGAGAAGAGCAGATTAGACACAATGTAAGCTGAAAAAGAAAATAATAAAAAGAACGGAAATCAATGAAAGAGAAAAGTAAAAATTATAAGAAAAATCCAAGAAAGTAAAAGCTAATCATTTTAAACAATCAATTAAATTGTTAAACTTCTAGTCAGTTGATAAAGAAAAAGGTAAAAAGGCACAAATTACCAATATCAGGAATGAAAGGGTGGGTGTCACCAAATATTCTGCAGTCATTATAAGGAAACAATGGACTATTGTGAGCCACTTTTTTCTAATAAATTTGATAACTTAGATGAAATAAGCTAATTCCTTAGAAGCCATAAATTATCAAAGTTCACTCAAGAAGAAATAGATAACATGAATATCTATTAACTAAATCAAGTTTTTAATTAAAATCCCAATGACAAAGCAAACTATAGGCCCAGGTGGTTTTCATGGTGAAGTCTAACAATATTTGAGGAAAAAATAACAATTCTACACAAATCCTTCCAGACAATAGAAAATGAAGAGGTACTTTTTTTATTCGATGAAGAGAATGTTACTTTCCTACTAAATCAAACAGATATAAGAAACGACAACAGAGACCAATATCCCTCATGAACAATGATGAAAATATTCTTACCAAAATTTTAGCAAATCTAGTTTATCTAAATCATGACAAAGTGTAGTTTACCTCAGGAAGACAAAGTTGATTTAACATTCAAAAATCAATAAATGAACTTTATCTTATTAGCGGACTAAAAAGAAAAATGCGCATGATCATCTCAATAGAAAAAGCACTTAATAAAACCCAACATTGAGTCATGATTAAAAACCCTCAGAAAACCACGGATAAAAATGAAAAGTCCTCATAGAATAAAGGCCGTCTACACAAACAGCAACAACAACAACAAAAATCTATATCTTCCTAAAATTGAGAACAAGGTAAAGATATCTACTCTCACCACTTTTATTAAACATTGTACTGGAGGTTCTATCTCATGAAATAAGGCAAGGAAAATAAATAAATCATCTAGATTGGAAAGAGTAACACTTTCCTTATCATCTGTGTAGATCAGCCCATGGAATCCATGAAATAAAAGCCACTAGAACTAGTAAGTGAGTTAGCAAAGTGGCAGAGTTCTAGATTAATATACATAAACTAATGGTATTTTTACATATAACAATCAGAAATTGAAATTTTAAAAATGTTATCATTTCCAATACCATTAACAAATATAAAATTGTTAGCCATAAACCAATAAAACATGTGTAAGACTTGTACATTTTAAACTACAAAACATTGCTGAGAGAAATTAAAGAAGACCTAACTAAATGGAACATGTACCATGTTCATGGATAGGAAGACTTGAAGTTGTTAAGCTATCAATTCTCCCAAGTTGAGTTATAGATCAATGGAATCTCAATCAAAATTCCAGAAGGATTTTTAAAATGAAAATCAATTATTGAACTTCACATTTTATATGGAAAATAAATGAAGGACCTAGAAAATAACTTTGCAAAAGAAGAACAAAGTTGGAGGACTTATTTATCTGATTTGAAGGCTAAATATAAAGCTATATTAAAACAATATAGACAAATAGATCAATGAAACACATAGAGTTTCCAGAAATAGGCTCACATATATATGGCCAATGGATTTTTGACAAAAGTACAAAGACAATTCGATGGAGAAAGTATAGTCTTTTCAACAAATGATGCTGAATCCCCAAAAAAGTGAACTTTGATTCATACCTCACAGCATATACAAACTTTAATTCAAATGAATCATAGACCTTAAACTATAAAATTTTTAAAAGAGAGCAGAAATCTTTGTGACTTCGGATACAACATCAAAAGCATAATTCACAAAAGAACAAATTGATAATATGCATTTCATCAAAATTAAAAACTTCCACTCTTCAAAATACACTGCTAAGAGAATGAAAAGACATAGATCAAGAGAATGTATTTTTAAATCACATATCTGTAAAGGACTTCTATGCAGAATGTATAAAACTCTCAAACCTCAATAATAAAATTCAAACATCCAATAAAAAGGGGAACAAAAGATTTGAAAAGACACTTCACCAACAGAAATATTGATGGCAAGTAAGATCATGAAAAGATGCTTCATATCATTATTCAATAAAGAGATGCAAATTGAAACCACAAGGTGACACCACTACACACCTGCCAGAATGTGTAAAATTAAACAGACTGGCAAACCAAGTGATGGCAAGGATGTAGAGAAATTAGAAACCTCCTACACTGCTGGTGGGAAGGTAAAAATGGCACAACCACTTTGGAAAACAGTTTGGCAGTTTACTAAACAGCTAAATACACCTGCCATATGATCCAGCCATTCTACTCATAGAGAAATAAAAGCATATGTCTATATAAAGGTTTGTATGCAAATGTTTATAACAGCTTTATTTGTAATAACCAAAAGCTGGAACCAATCCAAATGTTCATCAACTCGTGAATGCGTTAACAAATTGCGTGTATTCATAAAATTGAAGACTCTTCAGCCATAGAAAGAAATGGGTTGTTGATACTGCCAAAAACATGGATGAATCTTAAAATAATTTTGCTGAAGGAAAGAAGCCAGACCCCACAAAAGTATGAGGACATACACTATGCTTCCAGGTACATAAAATTATAGAAAATGCAAACTAACCTATGATAACTGAAAGTAGGTCAGTGGTTGCCTGGGGACAGGCTGAGGGTGGAGAATTGCAGGGAAGGATTACAAAGGGCACAAGGAGAGACTGGGGTGATGGATATGTTTATTATCTTAACTGTAGTGATGGTTTCACAAGCATAAACATACATCAAATGCATCAAATTTTGCACTTTCAATATGTGCGGTTTATTGTATGTCAATCATCCCTCATAACACTGTTTTAAAAAGAAATATTAAAATTAAATTGTAAATTATCAAAGAAAAAGATAACCACTGAAAGCACTTTTTAAAAACGTATAACTATAAAGACACTCGGATTAGACTGAGAGCAAACTTCACGATTGCAACAATCACGACCACACACAATGGAACAATATATTCTAAGTGCTAATGAAAATAATCATCAATATGGAATCTATATCCTGCTGAACAGTGTTCAAGAGATAGTATAAAATGACTGCATTTAAAAATTACTTATTTTTAAAAATTCACACATAATACTGTATGTATTTATGGGGTATGTAGTGATGTTTCTGTACATACAATGTATAGTCATCAGATCAGGGTAATTAGTGTATCTGTCATCTAAAATACTGATCGTTTTTTGTGTTGGGAACATTCAACACCCTCTCTTTTAGCTATTTGAAAATATATATTGCTGACTATAGTCATCCCACAGTATATAAAATATTAGAACTTATTCCTCCTGTCAATTTTGTGTCCTTTAACAAATTTCCCTATATCTCCCTTCCCTTTCCAGTCTCCAATAATTGAACCTAGGAAGATGGAATAAGATACATGAAGCTTGGATGAGCAAAGAAAATGCAAGATAATACAGGCAAATCTAAAAGAGCACTGAGTGTGTAAAATAATAATACTGACAACTACTAATGTAGGTAAAAAATATTACTGTTTATGAGATCAACTTTTTAGCTTCTACGTATGAGTGAGAACATGTTTAACTTTCTGTTCCTGGCTCATTTCATTTAACACTATGTCCTCTAGGCTCATCCATGTTGCCATGGAGGACAAGACTTCATTTTTTACTGCTGAATAGTATTTCTGTGTGCGTGTGTGTGTGTGTGTGTGTGTGTGTGTGTGTGTGAAATCACATTTTCTTTAGCCATTCATCTGTTGATGGACACTTGGGTTGACTCCATAGCTTGGCTATTGTGAATAGTGCTGCAACAAACAGGGAGTGCGGACAACTCTTGGATGTACTGATTTCCTTTCCTTTGGCTATTTACCCAGCAGTGGGACTGCTAGATCATATGCTAGTTCTATTTTTGTTTTTTTGAGGAAACTCTATACTGTTCTGTATCGTGACTGTACCCACCAATAGTGAGTAAGAATTTCCTTTTCTCCAGCTCCACACCAGTTGTTATTTTTTGTATTTTGACAGTAGCCATTCCAGCTGGGGTGAGATGATACCTCACTGTGGTTTTCATTTGCGTTTATCTGATGATTAGTGATATTGAACTTTTTCCATATATTTGTTAGCCATTTGCAGGTCCTTTGGAGAACTATCTGTTCAAATCATTTGCCCACTTTAATTGTTTTTTTTCTTCTTTTGCTGTTGAGATGTTTGAATTCTTCGTATATTCTAGATATGAATCCCTTGTTGGATGAATAGTTGGCAAATATCTCTCACCCTATGCAAAATTAACTCAAAATGGATCAAAGACTTGAATGTAAAACCTGAAGCTATAAAAACTACTAGAAGAAAACACAGGGAAAATGCTTTACAACATTGGTCTCAGGAAATATTTTACGAATAAGACCTCAAAGCACAGGCAACAAAAGCAAAGATAAACAAATGGGATTATATAAAACTAAAAAGCTTCAGCACACCAAAGGAAACAATCAACAGAGTGAAAAGAGAACTGACAGAATGGATGAAATGAAGACTTTTAGAACCAAAACATCCGAGAGATTGTCCCACTGAAGACCTACACACAACACCACACTAAGAGGTATACTTTGACCAAAAGTAAATTGAACCTGAGAAGATGGAATAAGATACATGAAGCTTGGACAAGC
Source organism: Homo sapiens (assembly GCF_000001405.40). Classification (NCBI taxonomy): domain Eukaryota; kingdom Metazoa; phylum Chordata; class Mammalia; order Primates; family Hominidae; genus Homo; species Homo sapiens. The sequence continues at coordinate 7,611 of NT_187599.1, forward strand.
AAAGAAAATGCAAGATAATACAGGCAAATCTAAAGGAGCACTGAGTGTGTAAAATAATAATACTGATAACTACTAATGCAGGTAAAAAATACTACTGAACTAAAACCTTATAGAAGATAAACACTAACTTATGATTTAAGGGGAACAACAACCTCCTAACCTAAGAATAAAAAAGAATTTCCTTATCCTGATAAAGATGATTAAACCCTATAGAAAGTATTACCTTTAATTGTAAAATTCAGCACTGCTCTAAAATCAGCTCCATTTTTATGCCTCATTGGGCTACAGAGTCTGGAAGCACATTGTGAGAAGAAAAAAAATCGTTATAGGGTCTAGGAAGGAAAAAAACTAAGCTATTACTATGTGCAGAACATTTCTGAAGAGGAAATTCAAGATAATCTAGACAGCTATTAGAATTAACTAGAGAGTTCAATGAATTGCAGGATATAAATTCAGCATAAAAATTACTAGCAAAAATTAGATAAGTAATATAAGATTCCATTAACAGTGAAAAAACCCACAAGGTTTCCAGAGATACATGTAATGATGTGCAAGACCTTCCTGTTAGGAGGAAATGGGTAAACTTTGTTGGAAGGCATGAAAGAGGACCTAAGTGAATGGAGAAATATACCATATTCATGAATGGGGAGACTCCGTCATGATGAAAACTATCATTACATTGATCTAAAGATTAAATGTATTTCCAAAATATTTTTCCAAAATTAGTTTCTCATGCTGATTTACAAAATTAATATACAAGAGCAATGAGCCAGAAATAGCCAAGACATACCTAAATATAAAGGTGAGAGAGATAACGGATATCACAACTTATTTTATAGAGCCGCAAGTCTTAAGAGAGTATGACATGGTTCAGGGATGGGTAAACAAAATAATGAAACTGAGGCTACAGCTAGAAAAAGACCCATGATTATATGTGAACTTGATATAGGATGGGGGGCATCACCCCTCAATGGGGAAGGGGTTCACTACTTGGCACGTGGTGCTGGAGCAACAGAAAACAAATTCATCAAGAAAAAATGAATCACAGATAGGCCAACACCTAAATGTGAGAATGCAAAGCTGTAAAAGATAACATGAGTTTATACGAATATCACAAAACATAAGGGAAAGTTTGAGGTATCAGACACAGTAAAACGTAAAATTCTGTTCAGAAAAAGGCACCATCAATAAAGCAAAAAAATTTACAAGACTCAGTCTGAGAGGATATATTTGCAATCCACATAACCAATAAAGTATCACTACCCAGATCCATAAATAACTCTGAAAATCAATAAGAAAAAGGCAAGCGACCCAATGGGAAAATGAGCAAATGATAAGAAACAATAAATATCAGGAGAAAACGATGGGCAATAAATATGTGAAAAGAGGCTGAGCTTCACTGCTAACACTGAGAAACACAAATTAAAACAACTAGATGCCATTTTTCACCCATTAGAGTGTAAAAAATTAATAAGTCTGATACTACTGAGTGTTGCCATGAATCTGTGGAAATGGAAACTCCGTCTGTTGCTGGAAGGAGTGTAAATTGGTATAACCACTTTGGACAGCAACACAGCAATACTTAATAATAATGGTAATGATAACGCTAATGGTTAATACTTATTGAACATTTATAAAGTGCCAGGCACTGTTAAAAGCTGGCGTGGAAAGCTGACAACACACATTCCCACAAGCCAGGGGCTCTTTCTGCAGTGGCCTGGCCACGGCACCAGCAGACACAAGCAAGGCTGCTCATGGTGTGGTGGGAAAGCAGAATTCATTTGTAAGTTCCTGAGTGGGGAAGGATCATTAATCTGTGCCTCATTGGCATGACGGAACATTTACTCCAGTTAACAGAAACACACTGAATTGATGTCCATCAATATTGATAAATTTCAAAAACTTGATGTGAGCGAAAAAAGCAAGTTGCAAGAACCTTGACACTATTTTGCCATTTATGTCAACTTTAAGGCACATAAAATATTGGTGGATGCAAGCATGTGATAGAAAAGTATTAACTTGTAGGTGGGAAATACGGACACCAGCCCTCCTCCATAGTGAGCTGAGAGCTGGCTAGGGAGCTGCTGGAGCCTGCCATCCGTCCATCTGTCCATCCATCCACAGGAGCCAGGCCATCTCCAGCGGGGGAACACCGGCTAGGGAAGCAGGAGTCAGCCTTGAGGAGCTGGAACCTGGAGGAAGGTTACTCTAGGAATTCAAGGACTTACGACGTTTGAAATCTACTAATGTCGTTTGTTATGATTCAGTATACGTTAAAAAGTCAGGAAACAGCAGATGCTGGAGAGGATGTGAAGAAATAGGAATGCTTTTTTTTTTTTTTTTTTTTTTTTTAGACAGAGTCTCACTCTGTCACCCAGGCTGGAGTGTAGTGGTGTGATCTCGGCTCACTGCAACCTCCGCCTCCCGGGTTCACGCCATTCTCCTGACTCAGCCTCCTGAGTTGCTGGGACTACAGGTGCCCACCACCATGCCCGGCTAATTTTTTGTATTTTTAGTAGAGATGGGATTTCACCATGTTAGTCAAGATGGTCTCGATCCGCCCGCCTCAGCCTCCCAAAGTGCTGGGATTACAGGTGTAAGCCACCACGCCTGGTTCTAAGTCTTTGCTATTGTGAACAGTGCCGCAATAAACATACGTGTGCATGTTTTATAGTACTATGATTTATAATCCTTTGGGTATATACCCAGTAATGAGGTTGCTGGGTCAAATGGTATTCTGGTTCTAGATCCTTGAGGAATCGCCACACTGTCTTCCACAATGGTTGAACTAATTTACACTCCCAAAATAGGAGTGTAAATTAAAGACAGTGTGGTTGGAAGGAACAAAAATGCACCCAAAACCTGTGTGAGGAAAAGTAAAACTTTATTGGCAGACACAAAAGAAACTTTCTGAGTAAATGGAGAGACATGTTCTTCTTGAATGAGAAAATTAACATTGTAAAGATGTCAACGGTCTCCCAAAGTGATCCAGATGTGCCGTGGAATCCCAGTCAAACTGCAGTTGCATCTTTTATGGAATTTGACACACTGACTGAAATTCACCTGGAAAAGAACATGCTTAGTAAACATGGTTTCCTGGGGGCGGGGCGGGGGGAGGGGGCAGAGGGGAGGGAACAATGAAAATTGGTCCCGCAGACAAGGTTCAAGTTAGAGATCCCAGAAAGAAGCAGATGTACCTCCGTGCAGTGAGGTACACTGGAGCAGGCACATCCCACGGAAAGGGCAGGGTGGACGATGGAAAACAGGCTGGAAAACAGGCTGCCAGGGGACAAAATCAACGCAGATTTCCAAGTCACAAACACAGGCAAATTCTGTGGATTAAAGAAAGACATCTAAAGATCTACAAACACAAATAAAAAGAATGCTTGATTTCACTGGAAATCAAAGATGTTGATGAGAGTAATAATGAGAAATTGTTTTTCACCCATAAAATTGGGGGTGGGGAGATAAGGATTAGACTTTCTAACAATGACAAAAGTGTAAGAAAAACAGGTAATTGGCTGCGCGGCTGGTGGTGAATACTTTTTACAACCTTCTCAGAAAACAATATGGAAATGTCCACCATGAAGGAGCAGAGAAAGCCTGTTTGAGGCCTCCGCTGTAGCTGGGGACGCCTGCCTGAACACAGAAGAATCATCCATATCCATGCTAGTTGCAGTTTGGTAATAGAAAAAAAAAAAAGAATCAGAAGGGGAAGAAAAGAGAAGCACCTTAATTCTTCGCCGGCAGAGGAGAGCTCCTTACACAGCAGCATCGCCCACAGGACAGAAGCCTCTGCAGCCATCAAAGAAAATGAGGTCGAACTAAGTGGGCCAATGTAGAAAGCTCCCGGGACATCGTGTTAAATGTAAAAAGCAAGTTGCAGACAACGCATGAAATATGTATGATTCCATTTGTGAAAAAGCAGCATCGCTAGACAAAACTGTGTATTTTATTTCGTATGTACACACGTGTGCAGGTCCATGTAAAGAAAGCAGTCCAGACGGTGGGGCGGGGTTGGATATGAAGCCAGCCCTGCTTTGTGTCTAGATACCCTGGCATGCTTGGAGCCCCCCAGGCCCGAGGTCATGTGCTCCTGCCATAATTTAAACAAATGCCTTAACAGCAAAAAGAAATTAGAATAGTCAGCTGGACGTGGTCTGGAGTGCAAGACGAAGGGGCGGTGCGGAGAGAAGGGAGGCGACCTGACCAGGCAGTGTCTTAGGGACCGGAGAGGAGTGAGGCCCACGGCGGTCCTGGGGAGCGGCCCACCTAGAGCTTGTCGCCAGTGAACAGGGAGCCGTGGCGAGAGGGACGGGGAAACCCAAGAGACCGTGGGGTGGGGGGAAAGCCAGGGAAGCCCCAGGCTTCTAGGAAGGGCCTGGCGCGGAGTCAGTGGGGAGGAGCAGGAGGCCGGCGTGGCCTTGGACAAGAGGCTCGGCGGCGCGGGGGAGCCCCAGGACCCGGGGAGCTGCGGAGGGAAGAGGAGGAGCAGAGCGTGGCTGGAAAGGCGGTGGGACAGGGAGGGGTAAGCTGTGCGGCCGCCTTGTCCCCTACGGAGAGGAGCCCTGGGAGCTGCGGGAAGAGCCGGGAGAGAGAAGAGGCTGTGGGCGGGGGACATGGTGGGGGGGTGGACGGGGGACATGGGGGGGTGGACAGGGGACAAGGGGGGTGGACGGGGGACGGGGCGGGGCGGGGGCGGGGCGGGGGGGTGGGCGGGGGAGGGGCGGGGCGGGAGGGCGAGGGCTGTCTCTCCCTCAGGACTGGGGTTAGCGAGGCCGGGCTGCGTGCTCAGGAGCCGAGGCAGAGAAGTCGTGGCTGCGCAGAGGGAGGCGGTGCTCTCCTCGCGGGGTCTGGGGTCCCGCAGCGCCTGGGGCGGGAGCAGTGAGCAAGCGTGGGTGGGAGCCGCGGTCTGGGTCCCTGCGCCCTCCCGGCTGCCCGGACAGCAGGTGCACCCGGGGGGCCTCGGCGCATTTCCAGGGCGAATGAGTCCAGGGCCCTCGGCCTGCAGGCTAAGCAGCGAGGACAGCGGCAGGGGGGCTCCGTGGCACGGCCTGGGGGGTCACCGCGCACGCCTAGGCCCCGGGAGCTCGGAGACGCAGCAGCCGTCGCGCGGGGCTAACAAGGCACTCCAGGCGCCTGCGCCACCGACACGGAGAAGGGCGAGCTGCGGAGCGCGGGGTGCGGACGGCCACGCCCCTCCCGCCACGGCCACCCCGAGCCCAGGCTGCCAGGGCGGCATCCCCAGCAGGAGACCCGCGCAGCAGCCCCTCCAGCCCCCACAGGAGAGGGCAACAGACCGCGCTGGGTTTCTGCCGGTTAGATGCTCAGATGCTTTGTTACCGCGGCACGAACTACCCCCACCCCGACTGTGCGTGGGTGCCGGAGCCTTTGTCCATAAGGATCCGTGTGGGCAGTGGCTTAAGGTGGCTTAGGGTTCCCCAGAGACACAGAACCAGCAGGACACACACAGTCCCGCCTGCATCTCAGTGATTGCAAGCGCTGACCTCACACACACTGTCTATATCCCATAAGATTATAACGCAGCAGAAAGCCTCCAGGGTTTAGTGACATCTTGATGGTCCTGATCCTAGGCTGATGTGTGTGTTCATGCCTTACTTGTTAACAAAAAAGTTTAAAAAGTAAAAATTTTTTTAAAAATTAATAGGGAAAAGCTTATAGAATAAAGATCTTTAAAAAACATTTTTGTACAGCTGTACTTGTTTGTGTTTTAAGTTATTACAAGAGTCAAAACGTTAAAAAATTACAAAGTGTATAAAATAAAAAGGTACAGTAAGATAAGATTAATTTATTATTAAAGATAGAAAAAAGTGTTAATACATTCAGTGTTTATAAAGTCTACAGTAGTGTACACTAATGTCCTCAGCCTTCTCAGTCACCTACACTCACTCATGACTCACCCAGAGCCTCTTTCAGTCCTGCAACCTCCATTCATGGGAACAGCCCTGCGCCAGTGTGCCATTTTTAATCATCTATGCCCTGTTTTTATGGTACCTTCTCTATATTTAGATACGCCATTACTTGCCATTGTGTCAAAGCTGCCTCCCGTGTTCAGTACAAGTGACACTCTGTACAGGTTAGTAGCCTAGGAGCCATAGGCTGCACCCTGCGGCCCGGGCATGTGGCAGGTTGTACCGTCTCGGTTTGTCAGTGACCTCTGTGATGCTTGCAGAGGACGAAATCGCCTAACCACACGTTTCTCAGAACACATCCTCATTATGAAGCAACACTTGACTGCGTGTCTGTGTGCTGCGTGTGTGTGTATACATGAAGAGATTTATTACAGAAATTGACCCACAAGATTATAGAGGCCAAGAGGTCTGAAGCCCAAAGAGCTGCTGCCTGTAAGCTGGAACACCAGGAAGGCCAGTGGTGTGGCTCTGTCTGAGTCTGAAGCCAGAGAAAGAGCATCACTGAGGTCTGGGGGCAGGAGAAGGTGGCTGCCCCAGCTCAAGAGGAGATGGAGGATGTGCCCTGACTCCACCCTTCTGTTCTACCCGGGCCTTGGGTGGGTGTGATGATGCTGGCACATATTGGTGAGGGCAGATCATCTTCACCAGTTCAAATGCTAATCTCCTCTGGAGACATCCTCACATCGACAAAGAATGCTTACCAGCTACCTGGGCTTCCCTTAGCCCAGTCAATTTGATGCATGAAATTAACCCCACGAGTCCACCCTTTGTCAACTTAGCATCCATACAAATCTTCAACTATATTTAGTCTCCAATAAATACAATCCGATCACAGTCCTGCCTAATCTGATACAACTATCGTACATACAACCAAAAACACACTAATTCCTTCCCCAAAAGAGCTGGTCAAGTCCTTGAGTGATAGTCACTTTTCTCCTGATGTCCCGTAACATAAAAACCAAGATGTAAAATTAACAGCGTTTAAATACTGATACGAAGTTGTTACATTTTATGCTACATGCTAAGGAGATAACAGAGAAAACAAATATATTTGGTTAATATATGTATATATTCACACAAACATATAAGTTACAAAACGAGGAGGACATTCTGACAATGACAGTCCTTATTTCTCCCACCAGCCATGTAGTTGTCACTGGTATTAATAACCCCCTTCTTCCACCACCCAATCCATATCCCTTTGCCCTTAGCAAGCGCCGCAGCTGGCCATGGTTCTTTACTGGTGGACTGACCCAAAACCTTCATTCTTGAAGGGTCTGAGCCAATAGAGGTCCTGCCTGAATTGTATTATTGTGGTTTCCAGTGACTTTAATCACAGAGCATGGCAGTGCCAAGACATGCCTGAGGATCTCCTGTCTCCCAGACACACTGTTCCTTCCCTCCATGGAGGAGTGCAGTCCAATTTCCCCTCAGTATTCCAATCAATCACCCCAGCCAGCGCCTTTATTCCCCTCTCAGCCTGCTGACTCTTGAGGCTTGAGGGTCCCAAAATGGCATACTAACTTTCTTTCTTTTTTTTTTTTTTTTGAGACAGAGTCTCACTCTGTCACCCAGGCTGGAATGCAGTGGTGCGATCTCTGCTCACTGCAAGCTCCACCTCCCAGGTTCACGCCATTCTCCTGACTCAGCCTCCCGAGTAGCTGGGACGACAGGTGCCTGCCACCACACCCGGCTAATTTTTTGTATTTTTAGTAGACACGGGGTTTCACCATGTTAGCCAGGATGGTCTCGATCTCCTGACCTCGTGATCCACCCGCCTTGGCCTCCCAAAGTGCTGGGATTACAGGCATGAGCCACCATGCCCAGCCCTAACTTTCAATTCAATGGGATCACTGTTGTGCCTCCTGGTTGAAGCATTTCTGCCTCTGGAACTAAGACCCATAGGCCAGCAGAATACAAAGTTGCAGGGAGCACCTGGTCCCAGCCCTGCAAGGTATTGCCATCTAGTTGGTAATTGACCTTCAAAAGGCCATCGCATCATTCTATCACACCAGCTGCTTCAGGATGCAACATGAGCATCGTTGCACTTCTTTGGCTGTGAAGTGAGTTCCTCGGTGAGAAGCAGTGCGAGGTGGAACACCGTGACAGTGGGTAAGGCATCCTGTGAGTCCATGGATGGTGGTTTTTCCAGTAAGGACAAACCTCTGCCCCTTCCATGCTGGGGACCATGCAATGTTATCAACCTGCCCCAGGTAGCTGGCTGATCGCCTGGGAATGGTGCCATATCAAGGGCTTGGTGTTGGTCTCCGCTGCTGGCAGATTGGGCAGTCAGCAGTGTCCGGAGCCAGTTAGGCCTTGGTGAATGGGAGTCCATGTTTCTGAGCCCATGTACTACCTCCATCCCTGCCACCATGCCTGCTTACTTTATGAGCTCATTGGGCCATGACAGGGGTGGCTTGGCAAGAGGCTGACCAGTGTCCACAGAAGGAGTCATTCTGTCCACTTGATTCCTAAAACCCTCCTCTGCTATGGTCATTCATTGCTGACCATTCACATGGGACAGACATATCTTCATGATTTTTGCCCATTCTAAGAGGGCTATCCACATATCTTTTCCCCCAAATATCTTCTTCACCAATTTTTCCAATCCTTCTTTCCATGTTCCTGACCATCCAGCATAAACACTGAGCACGGCCCGTGAATTAGTCCATCACTGCACAACTGCCCACTGCTCCTTCCAAGCAAAGTGCACAGCCAGGTGCATTGCCCACAGCTCTGCCCAGGAGGACTTCCCTTCCCCACTGTCCTCCAGGGATGTCCCAGGAAGGAGCTGTAGTTCTGCAGCATCCACTTTCAGATGGTGCCTGCATATGGGGCAGAGCCATCTGTAAACCAGGCCTGAATTATCTCTTACTCTGTCAAATGATCATGGGGAGCTCCCCCACGAGGCCACAGGCACAGGCTGGGAGAGAGGATCTCAGCTGAGAAAGGCAGTGGAGCAGGGGTGGGGACCGTGGGCACTTTGGCCCTTTCATGTAACCTACTTGAGCATTCAGGGTCTGGTTGGACCCAATCACATACGTACCACTTCCATTTGATGACAGAGTGTTGCTATGCATACCTAACCATGTGGCTTGGTGGGTCAGATAACACCCTCTGACACACAGACGTCTCACCAATAAATGTAGAGTAGTTGCTACTTCTTGCTCACTAAGTCCAATCCGCACAATGTCATCAATGTAATGCACCAGTGTGGCATCCCATGGGAAAAGCAACCAAGATTCCTGCAGACTAAATTATAATGTAAGGCTAGAGAGTTGATGGGACACTGTCCCTGAGATGGGACAGTGAATGTGTATTGCTGGCCTTGCCAGCTGAAAGAAAACTGCTTCTGGCTGGCCTTCTGGACAGGGATGGACAAAAGGCATTTGCTGGATCAATAGCCGTGTACCAGGTAACAGAGGATGTGTTAATTTGCTCAAGCAATGAAACCACATCTGGTACAGCAGCTGCAATTGGAGTCACCACCTGGTTAAGCTTGTGGTATTTCAGTCACTCTCCAAGATCCATCTGTGTTCCTTACAGGCCAAATCGGAGAGTCGAGTGGGAATGTGGTGAGAATCGCCAGCCCTGCACCTTGCAAGTTCCCGATGGTGGCATGATCTCCACAGTCCTTCCAGGAATATGGGATTGTTTTTGACTTATAGCAGTCACCACTTATCCCTGGTTTCACTTTCCACATTTTAAGTGACCTGTTGCACAGTACAAGATATTTTGAGAGAGAGAAATCACATTCGCAGAGCTTTTATTGCAGCATATTCTTCTAATTGTTTGATTTTATTATTGTTGCTAATCTCCTACGGTGCCAAATTTATAAATTAAACTTTATCATTGGTATGTAAGTATAGGAAGAAACATAGTATATATAGTGTTTGGTGGTTTATATGTCCATGGTGTCAGGCATCCACTGGGGTCTTAGAACATATTGCCTGCAGATAAAGGGGGACTACTGTATTATTTTCCTAAGCAGTTGCAATGGCTTCTACTTGGTCTTCTTCACTGTAATAGTCCTTACTCCACAGGTCAGGGACCCAATGTGTAGATGCTACCAGCTCCTCAATTACGTCTCTTCCGATTATGCATTCTGGAATGGGGAAATAACTACAGGATGGGTTTGGGGACCCACTGGGCCCACTGTAAAATGAACCTGAGCTAAAACTCCATTGATCATTGAGCTCCATAAGCCCCTACTCTGCCTGGATGGCCACAGAGACCTTTTCAATCTTCTGGAGTCAATGTCAGTGCAGAGCCAGAGTTCAGCAGTCCCTGAAAGGTCTGAGTATTTCCTTTTCCCCAGTGCACAGTCACCTGGTAAAACGTAAGGTAGGTCCCTTTGGGAAAGGCTGGGGAAAAGATTAAGAGTATACATTTCGGGGAATTTACAGAGTTGTTTCCCAGGGGGACACTGTCGTCCCTTCATTCGCTGGTTCTGAGTCTGTAGATTGGCTCAGGTCTGAGAATTGGTTGAGGGGCCATGACTCTGTGCTTTGAGAGTCATGATTTTATTATTTGAGTTAGACTTTTGTTTTTAGAGACTGGATATCATTACGTCATCCAGGCTAGAGTGCAGTGATGTGTTCATAGCTCACTGCAGCCTCAAACTCCCAGGCTCAACAGATGCCCCTGCCTCAACCTCCTGAGTAACTGGGACCACAGGCATGTGCCACTATGCCCAGATTCGACTTAGACTTTTGTTCACTTGACCTAAAACTTTCCTGCTTATACAGATCATGTAAGGATTTAGTAGGCTTCTGATCAAATTCCTTTCCAGGAGCCCCATGATAACGGGCCAGAGCCATGAGTCTCATGAGCCAGGTTGTTCTGATTGCTGCTGTGCCACTCCTGCCCATTGCTATGCCTGCACCCACCTTGCCTGTGGGATCCCCCACCACAGGATCCAGTTGCTCCCCTTGCACTTAGGTCTCCAGCTGAGTGGCTGTGGTTCCCACCATAAGGTCTGACTTACAGGGACGAGTTATGGCGGAGCTCTTCAAGGAAGCTGGGACCCCCTCACACAGTTCTTTCTCGAGGTGTTGGTGAAAGGCCAGTCTTCCAGATCCCCGCGTGTGGGCAACTAGGTCTGAAATGACAAACCCACTCTAACACACCAGCTTCCCTGAGCCCTTTAAACCCCCTCTACATTAAACCGGGGAGTTTGGATCTTTCCAGTTTGCTCACGGCAGGGCAGACTATCTTTTGACCCCTGTTCCGCCATCCAACCAAACTGAGCCCTTTCTAACTCGTTGACCTGCAACATTAAATCCAGAATCATTGCTTACTGAGCCCATATCAATAAATTTGGCCTGATCCAACTTTATGTTCCTTCCACTACCATCCCACACCCTTAATATTCATTCCCATCCATGTTCCCTGGATTTCTGCTCGTATAAATTAGAAAACCCATGTTGTTCTTTTGGAGAGCAGCATACCTTCTCATGGGTCACAGTTTGTCCCTCACCTTCAGGGCCTACTGGGGTTTGGGTCTAGTTATAGGGCTAGAGGCAAAGAGGGGCGGTGAGGGTGGGTCCTGAAAATAATCAGCATTGTCCTGCTTGGCCACCACCTCAGAGGAAGATATTACTCAGGATGCGGGGGACTCCTTCAAGTCAGGTGGAAAGGCTACACCACTGTTGGCAGGGATGCTCCTGCCACCAGGGATGTGAAGGCCACTTTTTTTGAGCGTGGGGGGACCTCTTCCACTGGCAAATAATAAACATCAGAACTTAGGGGCTTGATACCCCCAGCTTCATCAGGGTCTTCCCACATGTCCCCATTGCAACTTACAGTATCCCGTTCTTTCCCAGTCAATTTCCCCACTCAAGAGTAGACATTCCAGGAGGCTGGGAGCTCAACTTGCATTGTATTAATAATTTGGCCAATTGCAGGATGAGGTCCTGAGTTTGATTTTCAGAAACTTCAGCCCTGTGGTTGTATGAGATAAGGCTCCTGGGGCAAACATAGAAACTCTTAGGTCATTTTTGTGGCTCTTGAGCTGGGAATTTGAATCCCTGAGCTCATCTTTTTCTTTTACCACTTTGTCCAATGACATTAGAAGCAACCAATGTCATTATATTCCTCAGTTTTCCTAAAATGTTCAAAAGTATCATATACAGAGTCATGTAGCTCCTCGCTTCTTACAAGTAGTTTATTAGAAGGATCCAATGCAGATATTTTGCATATCTCTATAGTTTGTGCCATGGATGATCAGTGCTCTCTTTACTACCGGAAATACAGTCATTAGTGTCTTTACATATAGTTGGATTAAAGAGCCAATTCCAGAAACTCCAGAAAGAATTCAGAAAACTCGTCCTCAAAATTCTGGTCCTCTAGATCCACTCTTGGTACCAAAATCTATATTATTCAGAGTTCTACAAAAAACAGAATTAATAGAATATGAACATATATATGTATATATATATATACATATATATGAGGAGATTTATTATAGGAATCAACTTATGTAGTTATGGAAGCCAAGAAGTCCCACAATCTGCCATCTGCAAGCTGGAGAACCAGGGAAGTCAGTGGTGTTATTCAATCTGAGTCCAAAGACCAGAGAATCAGAGGCACCAATGGTCGAGGGCAGGAGAAGATGGATGTCCCAGCTAAAGAAGAAAGTGAGTTCACCCTTCCTCAGGCTTTTCGCTCTACTCAGGCCCTCCTTGGATTAAGTGATGCTTGCTCACTTTGATGAGGGCAGGTCTGTACTCAGTCCACTGACTCAAATGTTAATCTCTTCCAGAGACACCTTCAAAGACACATCCAGAAATGTTTTATCAACTATCTAGGCATCCCTCAGTGCAGTCAAGTTGACACCTAAAATTAACCACCACAAGCAGGGAAGATGGTGTGGGAGGTGAGATGTGTGTCTGTGAGCAGAAGCCGGGTGGGTCTCTGCATGAACATGTAGATACGGGTGCAAGCATGTGGGAGCTGCTGGTGGCAAAACTCAACAGAAGCAACTCGTATTTAGGAAGCGAATCAAGCGTCCCATCCTTTGAGCCCCATGACATTTCATGATCGGGAACAATAACAGACTCTTAGAGCAAGATGTATAATAAAAAGCTAAATTTTCAAGTATGGTTTTTGGAAGAATGTGACTTCTGAATTTTAACAAAAAGCAGAAACAAACACTTTCTTTCACACTTAAGAATTGTCTGCCAGGCTTCTGGAGGCACCTGGGCCATGTGGGTTCACTGTGGTCATTCAGGGAATGGATGGACAATGGTGAGTTTCTGGAGCACGGACATGACCTTTGGGGTAGAGGGAGGGCTCCAACACCAAGGCCCCCAGCACACATTTCACGAGGAAAAATGACCATCAACTCTGCTGAAACTGAGAAGGGAATTTTTTCTAATTAGAGGCTTCACATTAAGCATGCATTGGCTTCATCTGGAGTGTGCAGTACAGAATGATTCTCTTCCCCATTCCTCACCAAGAACAGTAATTAGAATGCAAGGTCATCTCCATATAATGCATTATGACTTTAATATCAGTAAACTCCCCTTACGTGTTAGATGCAGTGAGGAAATAGTAGTTAAATTATCACAGACTAGTATGATCAGTTTCCGCTAGGATAAAATGTGATAAATGGGTTTTAATAAACTGAGGAGAATTATAGGCACCATCTTCTTGGTTGCTGTCAATTTTATTTAGAGTAAAATGCCATTGCGATAATTAGTTGGTTTTTACTGTGTTCATTAAAAGCTTTTCTAATGACCGCTTGAGGAATAAGTAAAATTAATTTCTTTCTTGAACGTCGAAGGAATTAATCAAACAAACAAAAAGCAAACTTCAGGGATTGTGCGAGACGGGATGAGGGCCGGTGGTTTTCCGTGCCCGCTGTGGGGACAGCACTTTCCCGCCGTCTGTCGTTGGTGTTGCAGCTCCAGGCCATTCCCCCGAGCTGTGCTGATGGAGAGGGATGCAAGCCCCGGGGCAGAGGCCTTGGCCGTCCTTCTCAGGTGCCATTGAGCTGTGACTCCCAGGCCGCCTCCTCCAGGCAGCTTTCCTTGACTGCTCCAACTTCAGGGCTCTCTTCTGCCTGGCCCACACACTTGAGCTAGGGCTCCTCAGTCTCAGAGGCTGAGGCCAGGTTCTCTCTCTGCCTGTGGCCCCTTGGAGTCCAGCACAGGGCTAGGCACTCTAGAGGGCTCAAGGGCTTGAGCCTGAGATCCTGGCCTGTCTCCTCTTGGACAGGACTCCTTGGGCCTCCTGGCCACTACCCTATGTCCCAGCCCCTGCAGTGCTTGCCCAAGCTCAGCCTTTGTTCAGCACACCAGCCCTGTGAACCACACTGTCCCTGGAGGGACTGAGGGATGTCCAGGGGTCATTGGTGGCATAAAGGATGGAGCCACTGAAACGCAGTGGGTGGATGCAGGAAGAGGAGGGCTGCCCAGCAAGGCCACACCTGGCCTGGCTCGGAGGATGCCAGGAGGAGTCTCCAGCAGGCAGGCGTGGCCAGAGGGGCCGCGGGGTAGCCAGATGGAGTCTTTGTGCTGACCCCACAGTCCACAGGGAGGAGCAGAAAAGTGGGTGAGGCCTGCGGAGATGCCATCACCTGGCTGGGGGTACTCAGTGGCGAAGGGAGAGACAAAGCCAGACACCGCTCTGGCTAGTGGGAAGAGCAATGGTCCTTCTGACCTCCTGTGCCAGGTACAGCACTAGCACGGGCCTGAGAACCTGGCTGGTGAGCACATCCACCTGCACCTGTACCCATCCCCACTCCCCACACACGCCACACACACACACACACACACACACATGCTCATCACACACACACCGCCACCTGCACCCATCAGCACTCTCCACACACATCACACACACACTCATCACACACACCCATCGCACACACCACACACACACTCATCACACACATGCTTATCACACACACTCACACACCACACATACATTCATCACACTCACACACACACCACATGCTTATCACACACATGCTCATAATACACACACCTCCACCTGCACCAGTCCCCACTCCCCACACACATCACACACACCATTGCACACACACCACACACCCACTCACACACACCACACACACGTTCATCACAGACACACACACACCAAACACATGCTTATCACAAACTTGCTCATCACACACACACACCCCTCCACCTGCACCCATCCCCATTCCCCACACATCACACACACACTCATCACACACACCCATTGCACACACACCACCCAATCACACACACACATCCACCTGCACCCATCAGCACTCCCCACACATCACACACACACTCATCACCCACACTCATCACAGACACACCACACACACTCATCACACACATGCTCATCACACACACTCATCACACACCACACACATTCTCATCATACACACTCATCACACTCATTACACACACACTTATCACACACATCACACATATGCTCATCAGACATGCTCATTACACACTCATCACACACACCACACACACACAAACTCATCACACGTACACCTGCACACAGCCACACACACAGGCCCATCACACAGACACCATGCACCACACACACACTCATCACACATACACACAAACCCAACCACCTCACACACCCATTCCCCCATCACACTCACACCCCCACCTCTGCTGGATGGAGCCCCACCATCCTTCAACGCCCAGTTGACAGCTCATCGTCCTTGACGCTTCCCCACCCCACCGTGGCCTACTCTGCGCCCCACCACACTTCCCTCTCCCGCCCACAAGGACCTCGGTAATGTCGCCCCTAAAACTGCTGCGGAACCTGCAGCCGGCTGTGACGCAGAATTGGCATCCCAGCTCGGCCCCTGCACACCCGACGCCCGGAGGGGTGCCTTAGTCCTGAGACTCTCCTGGTTCTTCTCCCTCTCCAGTGAGGTGAGAAGGTCAATCCGGCCCTGTGGGGTATGTTGAGGGTTAAGTGAGACCCTCGTGCTCATGAAGAGGCCAGGCAGGTCCTCTGCGAGTGCCACAGCCCCAGGCTTGTGCAGCCAGCTCACGGAGGCCTCCCAGGCCCTGAACACACACAGGACAGGGCTTTCTTGCATTATCACCTGAGTGACACTGCTAGGGGGCTGCTCTCTGGATGTCACTGCGGCCGGGTGCCGGGACAGCCGGCTGCTTGACTCCAGGACTTAGAGCTTGACTTGGCCTTTTAAGCCTCTGTCTCAGTGCCCTCGGGTCCCTTCCGCCCCCTCTGTGGCTCACCTACCTGTCCCTCGGCCTCTGGGGTGGGCTGGCAGGGCTTGTTCTGGGACCCAGGTGGGGTGGCAGCAGTGGCTGTCATGGTGCAGCACCAGCTTCCCGGAGTGCCCGGTCTGGGGATCCCCAGCGAAGGCACCGAAGCTCTCTTCTTGGCTCCCGGGCCTGTGAGGCCCAGCCAGCTCCACCCCAGCCCCTCCCACCCCAAGCCTCACAAGGAACCCCCACCTGGCAGCTCAAGCCCAGCCCCCTTTCCTGGGGTCCTGGGAGTTCCCACCACCACCTTGTGGCAATCAAGGGTAATGTGTGGGCTGCTGGGCCCTTGGTCCCTGTCAGGGTCACTCAGAGAGGCCCGGGTGGACATGAAAGTTCAAGTCTAAGCCGCATCCAAGCCAAGACTCAGGAACAAGCAGGGACCCTGGCTGTAGCGCCCCCAACTCAGGAGCAGCTCTCCGGCTTCTCATTCCCCTGGCTCTTTCTGGCTGAGGGGGCTTCTCTGTGTAACTCGGCCAGGTCCTCTTTCCAGCCTTTTTATTCTTCCTGCAGTCAGAGGCAGGGGCAGAGGGGGCCTCTGGTGCCAGCTCTGAGGCCTCTCTTGAAGCCCAGCCTGAAGGTGGCTGACCCCACCCGCTGCCACCCCCACCCTGAGATGGGGGCTTAGCGCCTTTGTCTTGGTGGCTTGCCCTGCTGGGACCCCTTCCTCTAATCTCAGAATGGCCGACCCCTCGCCTCCCTCACGGCGCCATTTCAGAGCTACATTCTCAGGCAGACCCCCGACCTGGCGCTCCTAGTTCGCCCACCCACCTGTGCTGCGTGTTCCCAGGCGTCCGCCACCTGCAGCAGGCCACCCGGTCACGTCTCCCTCCTGGCGCGCTTTCATCCTCGAGCCCCTTCTGGCCCCATCCTCCAGCTCCCGCCGTGTTGCTCAGAGCAGCTCACGGTGGGCACGCGGCGACTCTGAGGAATGGGCGTTCCCACAGCTCCCCGGCTTCCGTGACGGCCACGACCGGCTCTGCAGGGCAAGCTGGCCTCTGCAATCACCGCGCAGCGGCCCCTCACAAGTAGCATTTTTGCACTTGGCAGTCTACACGCTTTTTCATTTTAAAAGGAGTTTGTCCCTGGTGTTTGAGAAATATGCCCAAGAACACAGCCCTTCTCAGAGAGTCTGGATTCTAACAAGGAAAGCTCTTGGTTACACAGGGGAGTCCACGGTGGTGCAATGTCGGCTGAGGCATGGCCAGCGCAGGGCAGGAGCTGGGGGACTGGCGCCTCTGAGGACAGGGAGACACTCATCGGAGCAGCAGCACGCTGCTTGCACCTATAGAGGCCGCGGGCTCGGCAGAGCTGCCCTCACGATACTGGTGATTTCGGGAGCTCTCTCTAGAGGGCCGGGAGATACTGCAGCCTCAGAAGTGGCTGCCAGGAGTGGCTCTGGCAGATTTAGACGGTGATTTAGTCGGTGATCCTGCTGCCGTCCGTGTTCATTCTCCAGCAGAAGCCACACCTCACTCTCTCCTTAGAGCGAGGGAGAGATATGCTCAATTAAGCTGAGGGCAAATGGCGTCTGCACAGCCAGATCCAGGGGCCAGGAGGATGGGGAACTGCCCGGGAGGAGTCTCCACGCCATGTGAGTCAATCAGGGAACCCTAATTGGAAAGCAGTAATAAAAAGTAATTGAGTTTAATACATAATTTAGATCGTTACCCGTTAAGCTAATGCCTCCCGCTTAGGTGTGGGGAGAAAATTATTTATCTCGTAGACGGGGAAGATTTCATTTGTTTTTATAATGGAATGCTCGCCAATTGACTTTAATAAGAGCAGTTTGTTAAATCAGATTTTGAATTGGTGCATAGATTTGAAGTTCATATGTTAATATTTGACATGATATACTTAGCGCCTCCCTTCTCCCCTTAAAGTGGCTGGATTTATTCTCCCGTGAGGCTGTGCGCTCATTGTTGTCCTACATTATGGAAATTAAATCGGTTCTCTCTGGTGTCTTGATGGGAGGCAATTTGGCTCCTGACTTCTACCTTTTTTTTTTTTTTTAAATTAAAAAAGGGACATTAAAGAGTCTCTGCTTGCTTCTTTGCAGGGCCTTTTTCCTCTTGAAAACAGTCCCAGGGCTGCAAACAAATGCTTTGCTTAAATACCAGAAAGGAACTTACTAACAACTCCTTACTTGGGTCCAGCCATCTGCCATTCCTTAGCCGTTTGATTTTCTCAGCAATCCTATGAAGTCAAGCGGCCACTAGGAACCCGGCTCCTGCGTGTGCACATCGAGGCCTGGGGCCTGGTCCCCACCCGTAGGTGGGCGCCAGCCTGGCAGTGGAGACCAGGCTTTTCACACCCGCAAGGCAGGGCTGCCTGGGCCTGGACCCAAGCTCCTCTGGCCAGCCTATTGATGGAGACTCTGGGACTCAGTTTCCCTATCAACAGAAGAGGGATAAGATACTGAGTACCTCAGAGGGGATTTTAGGATGGAAGGAGGTGCTGCCTGCCCGGGGCACGGAACACAGCCAGTACCAAGAGCTTAACTGTGAGCACTGCAACTACCCCAGTGGAGTGGCTCCCGGACCCCTCCCCAAACCAGCTCCCCCGACCCCAACAGCCGTACCACGAGGCAGATAGCATCTGACCGAGAGGGCCCCACCCTCACATCTGCCTCTCACCAGCTGTGGGGCCTCAGGTGGGCGTCCCTGTGCTCCAGGCCTCAGCGTCCTCGGCTATGAAACAGGCTGCTGAGGCCTCCCTAGGGCACCCAGTGTCCCTGTCAAGGGCAGAGGGGATCTTGCTGACAGGCTACAGGAGACCACCCCAGGAGCCAGGGGTTTGCACGGTCTCCTCTCGGGGCAGCCGTCCAGGCAGAACCTCAGCCCCCAGATGGCAGGATCGGGGCGAAAGCTAAGTCATCAGGACCCCAGGTCTGGAGGCCGTCCCTGCCCGGTTCCTGCAGCAGCCTCAGTGGCAGGTGCTGGGGAAAGCCCTAGTGCCGGCAGCCTTTACCTCGGGTCCCCCTGGACTCCCAACCCCTCCAGCTCCAGCCTCTGTGTCCCACAGAGACCCCCCAGCGCATTGCAGAGAGAGCTTTCCACAGCCCCAGCTGCACCCCCACTTCCAACTTGCCTCTGGAAACAGCCATGAATGGCAGGGGAGGGCACCAGAAGGAAGGCCTTTAGGGAGAACGAACACAGGTCTCCACTCTCAGAAACAGGAGTCTCCACAGAGCCCCCAAGGGACCCTGGGACACCCTGGAAGTGTCCACTGCACACTGGAGCCACCTCAAGAGCCATGGGGCTTGGAGCCCCGCGGTCCTGGAGAAGCTCTCCCCGGTGGAACATCGGAATAAATGTGTGTAGCTGTGAAACCCCACTTTACATAAAATCAGAAAGAGAGCCTGTGTAAAACAGATTTCTAAGTACCCAAGGCCTGAGACACAAGCCTCTCCTGCTGAGCACCTGTGCAGCCTCTTCCTGCCCTTCTCGCCTCCAAGCCGGCGCAGCTCCTTCTAAAACACCTTGGTGCACCCAGGGTGCCCAGAGGAAGGTGGGAGCCCATGGCAGCCATGTGGACGGGAGCGAGCCCCTCCACCAGCATGCTGGGAGGCAGACGGTCGGGGAAGGGGTGCCCTGCCACTCTGCTGCGGAAGAATCTGTTGCCGTGGAAGCATCCAGAGCAACAAGGAGGAGATGACTTTGTACCCCAGGAAGTGGGGCTCTCTGCCCAGGGACGAGTGAGCTCATGTGCAAGGAGGGCCCTTAGGACTGAGGCACCTGGGGTGGGGGTGCCAATCCCGGTCCTGCCCCCAAGGGCACTCGGCATGGATGCCCTCAGCAAACTCTCCTCAAGACCAGGCACAGGGCGAGGCACCTTAGGACTGAGGCACCTGGGGTGGGGGTGCCAATCCCGGTCCTGCCCCCAAGGGCACTCGGCATGGATGCCCTCAGCAAACTCTCCTCAAGACCAGGCACAGGGCGAGGCACCTTAGGACTGAGGCACCTGGGGTGGGGTGCAAATCCCGGTCCTGCCCCTAAGGGCACTCGGCATGGATGCCCTCAGCAAACTCTCCTCAAGACCAGGCACAGGGCAAGGCAGGGCCTGTCCTGGAGCTCCCAGGCTGGGCAGTAGGGACGGCCAGGGCGAGGGGCCCTGGTGTGAAAGTCCAGGTGGGAACCGCCCTAATCGCTCCCCCGTCCCAGACCTGAAGCTGCCCCTGGGGCTGAGGAGCCTCACTCTGTCCCTGGGCCAGGGTCCTGGGCTCCCCCGCCTGTGGAGCAAGAGCCGCAGGGCAGGGATGGGCAAGCACCAGCACCCACGGCTGCGGCCGCAGTCCAGCCACCTCAGAGTCCCCAGGCCTTCACCCAGCCTCGCAAGCCCCGTTGCCCACACCTGGGTTCATGGATTTGAGCCAAGCTCACCCATCTGCCCAGTGGCTTTGGATTTGAGAGCGTCCATGGCTCCCCCTACGCCCAAGCCATGCCTCATAGTCCCCTGGGGTGGGCTGAAGGTCTCTGATGGAAACCTGCTCTCACTGTATGGAGCACAGGCCCTGGCCCACTGAGACACCCAAACAGAGTCACTCAGTGGTTCAGAAACAGGGTGGGCAGGACTCCCAGGTGCAGGGGCAGTGGGGATTCTGAGCCCTCCGGGAAGGGGTGTTGGAATCATTAGAGTGAATGAGGGAGGGGATTGTGTGGTTGTTGGAGGGCAGCCACCCAGCAGGACTTTCTAGGAGGAGGAAACAGTTTCTTTCTTGGCTCCCCGTATGGTGCCACATGGGCCATGTGCACCTGGCGCGTGGCTGGCACCCAGCGTCAGTTCCTTTCATTCACTTCCCTTTAAGCAGCTCCGTGGACGAGCAGCCACTGTCCTGGACTCACACAAAGTCTCAGCCGGCGTGTGAAAGCCTGGGGGGAGCTCAGCCCCTCCACTCAGAGGCGGCGGCCGTGGCCACTGCCCCGAACAAAAGGAAGAGCTTGTTTACAAATTGTCCATTGAAAATTGAGTTGCAAACATCGGCATCAGGCCTCGCCTGCCAGGCCACCCGGATTGGAGAGTAATTTATGAAGATTGCTTTACCTGGGGCCGTGCTGGTCTGTGCCTGCAAGTAATTCACACCAGGCTCATTTTGGATGCAGTCAAAGACCCCCGTATTTCACGGTGACAACGTAATCACAGAACCACATTAAAAAGTCATTATTGTTTAGAATCCAGCTTGGTTTGAAAAACTCTTACTATAAAATTCAACAGCCTTTGTAAATTACCGAAAGGTTTACTCAAGAATCCTAGGTGCCGTGATTTAGACCGGGAAGTTACCACTTTATTGATTCTGTGGGATTTTGTTGGTCCCCGCATTTATAAGGAATGATTAGTGAGTGATCAGAGTAATAAACTCCTCTGTGCTGGTTCATAAATAATGATGAATTGAGTTTGCATCCTCAAATTTCTCATGCAAACCACTCCTATTCCAAAGAGTCCCAGATGCAACTTTGGGGCAGTGTGGCCGTTAGCCCCCACGGGGACAGAACACAGGGGGATCTGGCTTCTCCGCTTGCCTCTTCATAGGATCCCAGCAGGCCTGGCCACTGCATCCCAGGATAGCAGCCGTGGAGCCGGACTCCATTTCCCCCCAGCTCGAGGGGTGCTGGGGGCCACTGGCAGAGCTCCTGCAGATGCAGATGCTCCTCTGCCTCCATCATGGCAGTCCAGGGAGCAGATGTGTGTCTGCACAAGCCCTCGTCACTCACACATGGTTGAACAGGCAGGACGTGGCCAATTCCTTGTCAGTTTTGTCCTGAGAGGCAGAAAGCTTGCCCCTGGCGGCCTTGAAATGAGGGGCTCATTTGGGGCTCCTGAAAGCTGAAACTCCAACCCAGGAAGTGCCCCAGAGCCAGGCAATCCTGACACACTCACTCTCCTTCCACACTGGGAGACAGCAGCTCTGCTCTGCCCACCGGCCCAGCTGGCTTCCAGCCAGGTTCTGCCCTCTGAGGCCCTGAAACTACACTTGTCCCTTTTTAGAAGTTGTCAATGCCCACCAGTGCCCAGGAGACTCTAGGAAGGACTGCAGTGAAATGCTCAATGTGTTTAATCCATGTTTCCCACTGGCCCAGCCATGCCTTTGACCCACAGGACAGCAGCCATGGGTGTGCTTGGGAAAACCACCATGATGGGTCCAGGCAAGAGCACCAGCCTGAGCATGGGTCACGCTAACGTGGGTGGCTCAATTAAGGAACAGGGATGGACTTCTTGTTCTGTGGCCCCCACACGCTCCTGCTTCATCCGGTGGCCATTTCTGGGTGAGGCCTGTTCCCCCACATCTCCGCAGTGGGTCCCTCTGCCCAGGCTGCTGCCAGCTCCCACCTCCCTCGGTGCCCAGCGTGAGGCTGGGGCACAGTGGAAGGTCTGTGAACCTGTATTAAGCAAAATAGAAACTAAATGTGGACTTGAACTGGACTGAAATGAAATTGAGTTAGACTGAATGAAAATGGATTGGAATGGAATGGAATTCGGATTTGAACTGAATGGAATTGAATTGGAAGTGGACTAAAATGGAATTGAACTCTAATCTAAACACCAGTCAGGCAGGAGAGATGGACGGGCTGAGCCAGGGGAGCTGCCCTCACCCCACCTGCCCCCTGCCCTGGGGAACCCTCTGGTCAATACTGCTAATAGGAACTGAAAATTAAAGAAAATGATGCTGATGGATTTCCTTTAATATGCACAGACGCAGCTCAAAGAGAGTGTTTCTGGAAAAGCAGTAACAGAGCCTGCAGAGGTCACGAGGCACCTGGACCAAACCCTGAGATGCTCCCAGGAACAGCACTTGAGTTGTGCAGTTTAAATTCGAAGCGCTGTCCACCTTCAGCAAGCACCTGAGCCACAGAAGAGGCCCCCAGAAGCCGTCTCCAGCAGACAGGAATGAGGAGGCACTGCACACGGGCAGGGTGCATGCGGGCCTGCAGTCTGAGGAACACACCTGACGTGGGGCAGCAAGGATTTTCCACCACAGGGTCACTCTGTCTGTTCAGGGTCCCAAGGGCACCGAGAACACCAAAGACTTCAAGGGCCTGACATCAAACACTGCTCTAAGGGGTGAGCAGACACCTGCCAGGAGCAGAGGGAGGGCCCCCTGGAGAGCAAGAGGACTCAGCCTTCCAGCACTGGCCGAGACGTGGAGCTGCGAGGTCACTCACCAAATAACACAACAGCCTCTAGAAGTGGGAACGGCCCTAAGCTGACAGCAGCAAGAACACAGAGACCTCAGTCCTGCAACCTTAAAGAACTCAGTCCTGGTCACAGCCCTTGTCACCAGTGGGATCTGGTCTTATTTTTACAGGAAATAAACATGGTCTATGAGAATGTTACCAGGTCCATGCCCTTCACCCAGCACCCTTCGGCCTGCTTCTCCTGCACATGAGAACATTGTTTTAATCAGCACCACACCATCAGCATGTTCGGGAGACTTACAGGACCCCATTCTGGCATCTCTCAGGGCATGGTGTTGGTCAAGAAGGTGTTTCCGGAGCAAAGCGTGCCCTGCTGACCCCCAGGCAGGTGGCATTCTCTGCTTCAGGGACTGTCTTCATTCTCCTGTGTCTTTCGGGCTGGATGGGCGGTCCAATGTCCACTCCACATTTCCCCAATTTCAAGTTCTTTCCTGCATTGAGGGGGAGAAGCCAGGAAGGACCCCCAGGCCCTGTCCCCTAGATGGCTCCAGTGAGGTTGGCAACAGGAGGAGTAAGGTGAAATTTGGAAGGTGGCGGGGGGACCCAGGGCCTTTTCACCAGCTGGTGGCTTCTCCGGCTTTTCCACCCACTCCCCCGTCACCACTACTGATGGCGACTCGAGATTTGTGGTAGTTTCCTGGGTAACCCCTGAGGACCCCTGCCATAGTGATTCAGGCTGGGCCCATCTGGGCTTTCTTTCCAGCCCCTCCTACCTCACCTCCCTGTGCTGGACCCTCTGCTCTACTGCTTGGAGCCCTCCATTTCCCAGCCCCACCCAAACCCATCCATGCTTGAATTCTTTTCTGCTCTATTTCTTGTTGTTCTTCTTTCATTTTTCTTTTTCTTTTCTTTGGAGGCAGAAACAAAAAGATCCTTCTTCTCCCTAAATGCCTGTATCTCTACTCTCCTCCGCTTTCTCTGTGGCTCAGAGGCCACTCCATGGCATAAGGTTGCCATTCTGATGTTTCCCAAAGCTTGAGGCTGCCTTTCCTGGCTGGGCTTCCCACTCCCCAGGAAGCTCACTCTCTACCCATGGCTCCCCCACATGTCTGGGTGGCCCTGACGTCCTTGCTCCAATACCCATGGAGATCACCTTTTCTAGCTCTGGCGAGAGCTCCAGGTCCACACCTTGGCTGGAGCGGACCGGAGCCTCCTCTCAACCCCCAGCCAAGTGGGCACCTTTCTCTTTCCAGACCTGCCAAGCCCCCCGCAGCCAGTGCTGCATCGGCCACTCCCACTGCCAGCAACAAGCTGGGCAGGCTCTGAGCACCGCCCCTGCTGCCCCGGGTCCTGGGTCCACCCCTACAGAGCAAGCCCACCCGTCCAGTCCCCACCGTACCACCAGGCACAGCCCTCCACAGCCCTCAGCAGCACAATCTGAAAGCTTCTGGATTTGCTCTTCCTGGCTGTTTGCCTCTCTCCCCATGGGGAGACTATCAGGGGAACCCACCCCCAATATTTCAACGTAGGTTCTTTCTATTTTCCCTACGTTTTGGCTGGCTGAGAAATAAAAAGAAAGAGTACAAAGAGAGGAATTTTACAGCTGGGCCTCTGGGGGTGACATCACATATCGGTAGGACCATGATGCCCTCCTGAGCTGCAAAGGTTTTTATTAAGGACTTTCAAAGGGGAGGGGGTGTACGAACAGGGAGTAGGTAACAAAGATCACATGCATCAAAGGGCAAAAAGGATAACAAAGATCACATGCTTCTGAGGCCAATAAAGATCACGAGGCAAAGGGTAAAGCAAAGATCACAAGGCAAAGAGCGAAATCAAAATCTCCTGATAAGGGTCGATGTTCAGCTGTGCACGTATTGTCTTGATAAACATCTTAAACAACAGAAAACAGGATTCGAGAGCAGAGAACCAGTCTGACCTCAAATTCACCAGGGTGGGTTTTTTCCCCCACCCTACTAAGCCTGAGGGTACTGCAGGAGACCAGGGCATATTTCAGTCCTTATCTCAACT
Organism: Homo sapiens; assembly: GCF_000001405.40. Lineage (NCBI taxonomy): Eukaryota > Metazoa > Chordata > Mammalia > Primates > Hominidae > Homo > Homo sapiens. Next base: position 32,955 of record NT_187599.1, read on the forward strand.
GCATAAGACAGACACTCCCAGAGCGGCCGTTTATAGACCTCCCCCCAGGAATGCATTCCTTTCCCAGGGTCTTAATTATTAATATTCCTTGCTAGGAAAAGAATTCAGCGATATCTTCCCTACTTGCATGTCCGTTTGTAGGCTCTTATAGGCTCTCTGCAAGAAGAAAAATATGGCTCTATTCTGCCTGACCCCGCAGGCAGTCAGACCTTATGGTTGTCTTCCTTTGTTCCCCAAAATCGCTGTCATTCTGTTCTTTTTCAAGGTGCACTGATTTCATATTGTTCAAACACACATGTTTTACAATCAATTTGTATAGTTTAACACAATAGTGGTCCTGAGGTGACGTACATTCTCAGTTTACCAAGATAACAGGATTAAGAGATTAAAGTAAAGACAGGCACAAGAAATAAAAGTATTAATTTTGGGAACTGATAAATGTCCATATTAAAATGAAATCTTTACAATTTATGTTCAGAGATTGCAGTAAAGACAGGCGTAAGAAATTTATAAAAGTATCAATTTTGGAAACTGATATATGTCCATATTAAAATGAAATCTGCACAATTTATATTCCTTTGCCACAGCTCCAGCCAGTCCCTCCATTCAGGGTCCCTGACTTTCTGCAACAGACACAACTCTCTGAGTCCCCAGGACCTGACTCTCACAGTGCTCAGTGATTATTTGTTGAATGAATAAATGTCCTTGACACCACCTCCAGCAGTCTCCCCTGCTTGCTTCTGAGACGGTTTCTCTCTTTCACACCTGTCCTGACTCCACTGGCTCGCTTTCCCACCCTATTCTGCGACCCTAGCATCTTTCGTTTTCTTGTATTTCTTCTTAGGTTTTGTTTTTCTTCATGATCTGTGTTCTTTGCTCCAGTGTTTTATTATGGGATAGTTCCAACATTGAGAACAAATTACGTAGGATAATATGAACTGAACCCACCACCTGGGCATGACAAATATTAGCATTCTGCCATATTTGCTTTAGGTAATCATTTTTAGAAGTAAAGCATTATGAATAGAGCCCTGGTATATCATTCAGCAATCACATTTTCCTCTCTCCTCCACAGCCTTCTCAATCATGTTTGATATCTTTACCACAATCTATCCTGCTGTTTAGTAAAGATATGTTTTAATACTTTACACAAATCGTACCCCACGGTGCTTATAATGTGTGCCACTTGTTTCTTTTTTAACTCAACATTGCATTTTCAGGTTGGTCTGCATCTGTGCAGGACCAACTGTTGCAGATGCCTCTGACTTACTAATTTCTGTGAGTTCTCTACACACGCTGGATGATGAACACTGGTCTGTCATGTGTATAACAGACCAACTACTGGATAGTACTTTGTACACATATGCCATGGATGTATAGCCTGTGCTCACTCGCCAGCCTTCATTGTTTTGATGGGTCACTGTCATAAGGGGGGCAGCAGCCCACATTCCTGGGGAACCTTTCTTGTGCAAACATGCAACATGGTCCCTAGTCTAGGAGAGAGGGACTTTGCCAGGTGGAGGGACATGCCTGGTTCCAGCTTCACTAGGAGTAGCCAAATGGCTCTTTGAAAGGTGGAGCCAATGAACCTTCCCTTCAGCATGGGCTAAGCGCTCCCTCGCCCACTGCCAGCTTTTTTACTCTTAGATCCCTAATCTTTGTTAATCTGATGACTGTAAAACAAAAGGTTACTTTAATTTGCATTTTCCTGGTAACTGGGGAGAGTCTGCATCTTTTCACGGTCATTGCATGTCTCATTTCCTTTTCTGTTAATTGTGAGTTTGTATCATTCGCCTGGTTTTCACTGAGTTCATTACACAGTAAACATGCATATGTAAGCACATATATCTTTACTGAAACAACAGGATACATTGTAGTAAAGATTTCAAACATGATTGATAAGACTGTCAAGGAGAGAAGAAAATGGGACTGGTAGATGACATACCAGGGCTCCACTTTATTCATAAATGTTTCACTTCTCTTTGTCTCATTGATTTGTGTGAGCTCTTTATATGAGATGGATAATCATCGTCTGCCTGTTATGTTTATAGCAAACATTTCCTCCTGAGTGTGGCCGGTCTTTTGACTTTCAGCTTTGTTTATGGCATCTTTTGTTGTATAGAAGCTATTAATCATAACATAGTCAACTTTATCAAATTTCAGTTTTATGGGGTTTACGTTTGTATGTCTTACTTGAGAAACTTTTCTGGGCCAGGCGCAGTGGCTCACACCTGTAATTCCACCTCTTTGGGACGCTGAGGCAGGTGGATCACTTGAAGTCAGGAGTTCAAGACCAGCCTGGCCAATATGGTGAAACCCGTCTCTACTAAAAATACAAAAATTAGCCTGGTGTGGTGGTGTGTGCCTGTAATCCCAGCTACTCAGGAGGCTGAGGCAGGAGAATCACTTGAACCTGGGAAGTGGAGGTTGCAGTGTGCCACTGCATTCCAGCCTGGGCAACAGAGCAAGACTCCATCTCAAAAAAAAAAAAAAAAAGAAAGGAACTTTTCTGTATTTTGACATCATAAAGCTATTTCACTGTAGTTTATTCTAAATGTTTTAAAGTTTTGCATTTCGTATGTAGGACTTTAACCCATCTGAGCTTTATTACCGGTGCAGTGTTAGATAATAATGTGAATATTTTACCTTTCTATCAGTGGCATTTGACCAACAAACCCCCATTCCTGTTGACGTATGGATCCCTGTGGTGCACAGCAGGTTTCCACTCCGTGCAGGTCTGCTTTTGCCTTTCTGTTCTGTTCTGCTGATCTGTTTATTCTTGAATAGTCTTTATCAAAACTAGAGGAAATCGCTGGCTATTTGTTAGAGAAAACATCTCTACCCTCTGCTTCTTCTTCAAACCTGTCTTCACCATCTTTGGTCCTTTGCTATTCCATGTGAAGGAATAATCCACCTTATCAGGTGCCAGGAGAAAATGCTGCTAGGAATTGAATGAAATTGCATTTAATTTATTGATTATTTTACAGGAAAACAGAACATTTGAAACTGAGTTTTTGCATTCATGATGTAGCCTTCCAATTAGTTAAATCTTTGTCTATAGCCCTTAATAAAATTGTATTAGTTTCTCATTTAAGATGTCCCACATCTTTATTATACTTATTTCTAAATACCTCAGTGTTTTATTGCTATTGCGAATGGTGTGTTTTTTCTATTACAGTCTCCAATTAGTGTTGGCTATTGCATAGCCATGCTGTGGACTTTTATATCTTCTTATATTAAACCTCATTAGCTCTCATTGTAAATTCTTAGAAAATTTTATGCAGAAAGTTATATTGTCTACCCCAAAAATATGAAAATGTATGTCTCCTCCTTTCCAATCCTCACTCCTCTTTTTCCATCTTGGCGTGTAACATTGGCTAGATCATCAGACCATGCTGAGTGATGGCTATGAGAGAGTCAACTCCCTGTTTTCCACTTTAATGGGACTGCATCTGGAGTTTCGCGGGAAGCTTGAGGCTTGCTGCAGGCTGGCCGTGGTGGCCTTTTATCAGGCGAAGGTCGTCCTTGTAGCTCTTGTTATCTACGAGCCTCTGCTGGGAAGGAGGGTGAAATAAATGTGGGTTACATCCTCTGAGATGACCATAGCTTCTCTCCTGAGACCTGCTGATGAGGCTGATGATAAAAGTGGATTGCCTAGCGATACTTTATGCTTATGTTCCCAGGACAAAGCTTGCTTGGTCATAATTGATTCTGCAGCCAGTTGCCCGTCCTCACCCCTGGTGTGGCCAGCCAGGCTGGCGGTGTGCCCACCCTCTGCTGACCACTGGCTCTTGCTGATGACCCCCACCCCCACATATACACATAGCTCAATGGACAAAAAATTCTAGGAAGAGACTGGAGCCGTTATCCAGGTATCTATTACCAAAGAGCCTCCCATAGTGGGGTAGTTCCATCAAAAGTAGTAACCGACCCAGGGAATAGGTGGATGTATTTCTCTCCAGAGCAAAAAGGTTGATGCATACACATCTGTTCTACCAAATAGGCAATCTGGTGACTGTTGGGCTAGGGATCTGAGGGCCTCTCTGGGTTCTCCAAGTGCATTCTCTCCCAATGCCGGGATGCAGGGCCTGCCTCCTCTGAGTGGCTGTCATCCGCTCTGTCTCTAGGACGATGCACCCACAGCACCATCAGCCCAGCACAGCACCCACCGCATTCCTTGCTGCCCTCCGACGGCTCAGGTGTCCCAGACGTTGGGTGCAGTCTAGCAATGGGGTGGCAGGGCCGTGACTGGACTCCTGGCATCTCTTATGTTAGATTTCTTTCCTCTGCTCAATGCCCCCCACCCCGAAAGGAAAAGATGTGTTCCAGGGCAGAGGATGCGAGTTGAATTCACCCATTGAAGTTAGGGGTACCGTTGACAGGGGCAGCGGTCAGACACAGCCATGGGTCAGCAGTGCATAAAAACGATTTGGGAGTCATGAGGCTGAGGATGGCATCTGACACCACGGGAGCATGTCTGACTCACTCACACGCCCGCCATGGGGCTGAGGGTGAGCTGATGAAGGAAGAAAGGAAAGAGGAGCTGGCAGATAAATTGGTTTTAAAATGACTTACAATGTTGTGATTCATTGGTTACTCCCTGGGCCTCCCCTCGCCTGCTCCTGACACTGGGACTCACCGTGGAGGTGTCTGGACCGTGCTCCGGGGGGCAGCTTCAAGCATCCCCAGGTGTCTCCTTCAGCCATTCTCATTACTCTGCTCCAGTGGTCTCTGACCGGTCACTGCTGTGGGAGAGAAAAGCTATCCCTTTATGTCACTTCGTTGCAGAATTTGTGACTCGCAAAATATTAACTGACTGATGTTTAGAGACACGTCGTCCTTGGCAGAACTGGAGGAACAACTTCCCTTGAAAAGCTTCAGAGGCAGGTGGCTTTGGCCACCTGGCCCTCCTAGTGGCACTGGTCTCTTTCTTTCAAGTCAAGGGCAGAGACTTGGGGCGTCTGATGCGACTTTCCACTTTAAATCATGGAAGAGGAATGCTGGAAGCACGGCTGTGTCCCTCCCTTCTCAGATCAACCTACCCACCTCTTCTGAAATGGATGCTGGCTCCTGGGTGGACTGAGTCCTCCCTGCTCCAGACAGGGGGCAGTAGAAAGAGGTTGAGAGCAGTAGCAACTTGGAAGACTTACAAGGCTTACTCATAAACATGTAGATTGCCTAGTGATAATGTAGATAAAGGTATCACTAGGCAAACTACATTAGAAATACATATGCCTATGTATATACACCACTCTATGTATATATACATATATTTACATATATACACACATATATATCAGTAAGGATTCGTGAACATTTATTTTTATTTATTATTTTTTTGAGACAGAGTCTCGCTCTGTCACCCAGGCTGGAGTGCAGTGGCATGATCTCGGCCCACTGCAACCTCCACCTCCCAGATTCAAGCGATTCCCCTGCCTGAGCCAACCGATTAGCTGGGACTACAGGCACACACCAGCACACACAGCTAATTTTTTTTCTTTTTTTTTGTATTTTAGTAGAGACTAGGTTTCACTGTGTTGGCCAGGATGGTCTCGATCTCCTATTGTGCACTGCATGTGCTTTATTTTGTTGCTCAGATTATTCCAGCTTTGGCTATTGGGAGCTCTTTCAGTTGGTTCCTGTGTCCCTCTGGCATAATCTCATTCTTGTGGGGGTTTTAAACACTTCTTTACCTCCTGGCACTACACGATGCTCTAGGCCCCTCTTGTATAATCCTTACCCTAGCCCTAGAATCAGCCATTTATTTAAAGATTTCTGATTCCTTTTATTGGAGAGAGACTTTAGAAACCAAGATGTGGGCACTGGGTGCACTTATTGTGACTGGAGTGTCAATGGAAATTCTGGAGATTAAAAGTATAATGATTAAAGCGGAAAATTTACTAGAGAGGTTTGATGGTAGATTTGAATTGGCAGAAGAGATCACCAACTAATTTAATGACAAATCAATACAAAGTATTCAATTTGAAGAAGAGATAGAAAAAAACTAACAGAGCTTCCGTGAAATGTGGAACACCACTAAGCACCCTGACCTGCACATATTGGGAGTGCCAGAGGAGAGGAGAAATAGGAGGAGACAGGAAAAGTACTCAAAGAAATAATGGCTAAAAACTTTCCGAATCTGATGAAAAGTACTAGCCTCACATCCAGGAAGCTCAATATGGCAAGTGGGATAAAAACAAAGAGAAACACACCCAAACACATCATAATCAAAATGTTAGAGACAAACACAAACAGAAAATTTTGAAAGCAGTTGATGACAGAAAAATCCAAATGTTGCCAAAATATATTTAAAGAGGTTTACTCTGGGCCAATATGTTTGACTATGGCCCAGGTTACACAATCTCAAGAGGTCCTGAGAAAGTGTGCCTGAGGTGGTTGGGTTATAGTTTGGTTTTACACATTTCAGGGAGACAGGAATTGCAGGTAAAATAATAAATCAATATGAGAAGGGTGCACATTGGTTTGGCTGGAACAGGCGGGACATCTCAAAGTGGGGGCTTACAAGTCATAGGTGGGTTTAGGGGATTCTTCAGTTGCCAGTTGGTTGAGAGAGTTAAGCTATTGTCTAAGGACTTGAAATCAGTAGAAAAGAATGCCTGAGTTAAGATTAGGGAGTTTTGGAGACCATGTTCTTATTATGTAGATGAAGCCTCATGGGTGGCAGCTCTCAGAGATATGATAGCTGATGAGTGACTCTTTTCAGACTTTAAAGGTGTCAGGCTCTCCCTTAATCTCTCCTGGATCTGAGAAAACCTCCTGGAAGGGAAAATACCTGGTTATATTCATGGAGATTCTCTATAGCTGCAAATTGTCCCCATAAAAGATGGCTTTGCAGGGCCATTTTAATCTGTTGGCACTGTGGCAGCCATTGCAAAGTACATTAAAGAAATATATTTTGTGGTAAAATATTTTTATTAATATGTCCTTTAGAGTCTGCTATCTGTCATGTGATATTATACCAAAGTCAAGTGGAAAGCAAGCCACATTTTATAAAAACCTGTCTGATGAGATTTTTATGGTTTGTAGAGCATGACTCCCCAGTCCCCTTAGATAGGTATTTGGGCAAGAGAAAAAAGGTCCCCATTTACTCCTCACAGCAAGAGAAAAAAAAAAAGCAATTCATGCAAAGGGACACCAATAAGATTAACAACTAAATTCATTAGAAATAATAGAAGCCAGATGGCAGCGGAATGAAATAGTCAGTGTTGAAAGACAAAACACTGTCAACCAAAAATCTTATTTCCAGCAAAACCATCTTGAAATATAAAGGTGAAATAAAGACATTCCCAGATAAAAACTGAGATAATTTATTGCTAGCAAATCTGCCTTACAAGAAATACTAAAGGAAGTTCTTCAGACTGAAAGCAAGCAACACAAGATAGTAATTCAAATCCACACAAATAAACAAAAGTGTCAGTAAAGGTACTTATATAGATAATTACAAAAGACTGCATAATTGCATACTTTCCCTTTATTTTCTTGCCTTACTTAAAAAGTAATTACATAAAACAATATATGTAATATACAGGTGTATTGTTGGGCCTCAAAATGGCATCAAAAAATGGGGAGAGAATGGAGGAATATAAGGGTAAAGCTATATTTCTCTGGAAATAAGTCAGTATAAATCTGATATATTAAGATATACACTGTAAGCCCTAGGGAAACTGCAAAAAAAAAAAAAAAAAACTCAAAATACAATGTAAACATTATTTAAGAAATTAGTGATATCTAGTGTTGCATTAGAAAATATCTACTTAATACAAAGTAAAACAATAAAGGATAAATCATGTAACAAAGATGATAAGAGACCTATAGAAAAAGGTAAAATGTCAGATGTCAATCTAACTATATCAATCATAACATTAAATATGAAAGAATTAAACAATCCAATCAAAAGGCAGAGATTGTCAGACTGAATTTTTAAAAGATCGAGGCGGGGTGGGGTGGCTCACGCCTGTAATCTCAGCACTCTGGGAGGCCGAGGTGGGCAGATCACGAGGTCAGGAGATCAAGACCATCCTGGCTAACATGGTGAAACCCCATCTCTACTAAAAATACAAAAAAATTAGCCAGGCGTGGTGGCACGTGCCTGTAATCCCAGCTACTCGGGAGGCTGAGGCATGAGAATCACTTGCACCTGGGAGGTGGAGGTTGCAGTGAGCTGAGATCACACTGCTGCACTCCAGCCTGGGTGACAGAGTGAGACTCCGTCCAAAAAATAAAAAAATACAAAATAAAAAAAAAGATCAAATTACATGTTGTTTACAAGAGACACATTTTACAAGCAAAGATACAAATGGGTTGAAAGAAAGGGTGGAAAAGAATACACCATGTAAACAACAATTATAAAAGACTTGGAGTGGCTTTCCTATGATCAGACAAAATACGCTTTAAAACAAACAAGTGTCTGGGCATGGTGGCTCACGCCTGTAATCCCAGCACTTTGGGAGGCCGAGGTGGGTGGATCACAAGGTCAGGAGTTCGAGACCAGCCTGGCCAAGATGGTGAAACCCTGTCTCTACTAAAAATACAAAAATTAGCCAGGTGTGGTGGCAGGCACCTGTAACCCCAGCTACTTGGGAGGCCGAGGCAGGAGAATTGCTTGAACCCAGGAGGCGGAGGTTGCAGTGAGCCAAGTTCGCACCATCGCACTCCACCCTGGGCGACAGAGCAAAACTCCGTCAAAAAAGAAAAAAACAAAAAAACAAGTAAAAAGGTTACTAGAGATAAAGAGGAACATCTTACAATGATAAAAGGGTTAATTCATAAAGAAGCTAAAACAATTATAAACATATATGCAACTAGCAAGAGAGCCCACAAACATTGGAGATAAAACTGACAGAACTGAAATGGGAAATAGATCATTCAACAATAATAGTTAGGGACTTTAATATCCCACTTTCAATAATGAATAGAGCAACTAAAGCAGAAGACCAATACGGAAATAGAATTGAACACTGGAAACAACTAGACCTAAAAAACACCAATGAATATGCCACCAACAGCTGTAGAATATGCATTCTTCTCAAGTACACGTGGAACGCTCCTTGAGATAGATCATTAAACACAATTGTCTTGTGTTAGACAATTAAGCACATCCCCATAAACTTAAAATATTTAAATGATACAAAATATTTTCTCCACCCACAATGAAATTAAATTAGAAATCAATAATAAAAGCAAATTTAAAATTCACAAATAGTGGGAAATAATATACCTCTAAATAACTAATGTGTCAAAGAGGAAATTTCAAGGGAAATCGGAAGATTCATTTAGATGAATAAAAATGAAAACACAGCATACCAAAACTTGAGATGCAAATAAGCAAATAAAGACGCTCAGAGAAAATTTATACCTGTATCTATATTTTAAAAGAAGAAAGATCTCAAATTAATTACCTAGCCTTCCAATCTCAGAAAGTAGAAAAGCAAGAGTAAACTAAACCCAAAGCAAACAAAAGGAAGGAAATAACCAAGATTAGAGTAGAAATAAAGGAAATAAAGAATATAAAACAATAAAGTCGACAAAACCTAAAGTTTTGTTCTTTTGAACACAGGTTTGGTTCTTTGAATAGATGAACAAAAGTGACAAATCTTTAGCTATACTGGCCAAGAAAAAAAAGAGAGAAGACTCAAGCCACTAAAATCTATAAGATGTCTGATCTTACAGAAATGAAAAGGAGAATAAGGGAATGCTATAAACAACTGTCTGCCACCAAATTAGACAATTTAGATGAAATAGACAAATTCCTGGAGAGAGAAAACTACTGAAACTGGTTCAAGATAAAATAGAAAACCTTAACAGACTTATAACAAGTAAAGAGATAGGATTAGAATTAAAAAAACAAAACAAAACTTCGCATTAAGGAAAGCCCAGGTCCTAGATTCACTGCCAAATTCTACCAAATGTTCATAGAATTAATATCAATCTATAAGTTCAGTATTAACCTGATACAAAAACCTGACAAAGATATCATAAGGAAAAAAAATAACTCTGGTGAATCCTCTTCTGAATAGAGATGGGAAAATTCTTTAAAAAAAAAATACTAGCAAACTAAATCCAGCAACATATAAAAAGGATTATGTACCATGACCAAGTGGAATTTATCCCAGAAGTACAAGGTTAATTTATCATTAAAAAAATCAATTAATGTAACACACCATATTAATAGAATAAAGGACAAAAATCATATTATCATCTCAATGCAGAAAAAGTACTAAACAAGCAACATTTTTTGTGATAAAAAATTTAACAAACCAGATATAAAAGGGAACTTCCCCAGTCCGATAAAAAGCATGTACACGGCCAGATGCAGTGGCTCACACCTGTAATTCCAGCACTTTGGGAGGCCGAGGTGGGCGGACACGAGGTCAGGAGTTTGAGACCAGCCTGACCAACATGGTGAAACCCTGTCTTTACTAAAAATACAAAAATGAGCCGGGCGTGGTGGCACAAGCCTGTAATCCCAGCTACTCAAGAGGCTGAGGCAGGAGAATTGCTTGAACCCAAGAGACAGAGGTTGCAGTGAGCCAAGATCATGCCACTGCACTCCAGCCTGGGCAACAGAGTGAGACTTTGTCTCAAAAAAAAAAAAACTTACAGCAAACTTCATACTTAATGGTGGAAGAATGAAAGCCTTGCCCTCTACAGTCAGGAATAAGACAAGGATGTCTGCTGTTGCCATTTCTATTTGACATTGTACTGAAGTTTCTAGCCAGGACAATTAGGCAAGAAAATGAAATAAAAGCATTCAGATTAGAAAAGATGTAAAACTATCTCTGTTTGCAAATAATATTATTTTGTATGTTTAAAAAACCCCAAAGAATCCACAAAATAAAAATCATTAGAGCTAATAAGTGGCTTAAACAAATTTGAAGGATACAGGATTAACATATTAAGACAAAAATCAGTGTATTTCTATATACTACGAAAGAATACTCTGAAAATAAAATTAGGAGAAAAATCTGTTACTAATTGCATTCAAAACATAAAATCTTTAAGTATAAATTAAACAAAATAAGTGTAAACCTTGTACACTGAAAACTATAAACATTGTTGAAATAAACTGAAAACAATCAACATTAATGGAGACATATCATGTTCATGGGTCAGAAGATTTATTATTGTTAAAATGACAGTACTGCCCAAATCAACCTACAGAGTCATCTCAATCCCTATCAAAATCCCAACTGACTGTTTTATAGAAATTGACAAACTGACTCTAAAATTCATTTGGAAACACAAGGGACTCAGAATGGCAAAGAAAACAAATTGAAAACAAAGAATAAAGTTGAAAGACTCACACTTCCTGATTTCAAAACTTACTACAAAGTGACAGTAATCGAGACAATGTGATACTGTCATGAAGACAGACACACAGATCAATAGAATAGAATTGGGAGTCCAGAAATTAACCTTTTCATTCATAGCCAATTGGTTTTCAACAAGGTGCTGAGACAGTTAAGTGGGGGAAAGAAGAGTCTTTTCAATAAATGGCATTGGGACAGCTATATTTCCACATGCAAAAGAATGAATAACCCCTAATTCATACCATACACAAAAATTAAAACTCAAAATAGATCGTAAACCTCAATGTCTATGAGATAAGAGTTAAAACTACAGAACTCTTAGAAGAAAACATAAAAGTCAATCTTCATGACCTTGGGTTAGGCAATGGTTTCTTAAATAGCACACCAAGAGCACAAACAGAAACATCAACCAAAAATAGATAAACTGGGCCATATCAAAATTTAAACTTTTATGCTACAAATAATACCACCAAGAAAGCAAAAGTAGAACACCATAGAATTGGAGAAAATATTTTCAAGTCATATATCTGCTAGAGGCCTTATATCTACTATATATTTAAAAATTCTTGGCCGGGCACAGTGGCTCATGCCTATAATCCCAGCACTTTGGGAGGCCAAGGCGGGCGGATCACGAGTTCAGGAGATTGAGACCATCCTGGCTAACATGGTGAAACCCCGTCTCTACTAAAAATACAAAAAATTAGCTGGGCGTGGTGGCGGGTGCCTGCAGTCCCAGTTACTCGGGATGCTGAGGCAGGAGAATGGCATGAACCCAGGAGGTGGAGTTTGCAGTGAGCCAGGCTGCACTCCAGCCTGGGTGACAGACAGAGCGAGACTCCGTCTCAAAAAAAAAAAAAAAAAATTCTTATAGCTCAATAACAAAAAGACAAAAATACCATTTAAAAGGGGGCAAAGGACTTAAATAGACATTCCTTCAAAGTAAATATACAAAAGGCCAATAAGCACGTGAAAAGCTGTTCAATATCTTTATTCATCAGGGAGGTAGAAACCAAAACCACAACCAGATTCTACCCCACATCCTGAGGACGTCTAGGATCAAGAAGACAGACAATGACAGCTGCAGACGAGGATATGAAGGAACTGGAAGCTGATGGGGTTGCAACATGCTGTAGCTGCTTTGGAAACAGGTTGGCAATTTCTTATAATGTTAAACATAGATTTACCATATGACCTGGTAATTCCACTCTTAAGTGTATATACCCAAAATAAATGAAAACACATGTCCACAATTTTTATATGCAAATTTTCATAGCAGCACTATTCGTAATAGACAAAAATTGAAATAACTCAAATATTCATCAACCAATAAATGAATAAATAAAATGCATTCTATCAGTACAATGAAATATTATTTGGCAATGAAAAGGAAATGAAATACTGATAAATTCCACAAAATGTTGATAGTGATGAACCTTGAAAACATGCTAAGTGCAAGAAGTCGGTAACAAAGAACCACATATTATAGGATTGCATTTGTAATAAAGTGTCTAAAACAGGCCAATCCATAGAGACAGAAAATGGATTAGAATTTTCTTAGAGCTGGGAAGTGAGCAGAGAGGAATATGAATGACTGTTAATGGATAAAGGGTTTCTTTTATGAGAAACAAAAATGTTCTAAAGTTAGATTATGATGGTGGTTGCACAACCCTGTGAATGGTGAATGTACTAAAACACATCAATTTGTACACTTTAGGTGACTCATATGGTATGCAAATTATATCTTGATGAAACTGTTTCTTTTTTTAAAAAAAGTCACCAGGTTTAAACAGGTCAAAGCTGGCTTTCTCTATATAATAATACAAATAATTTCAATGTTATTTTGAACATTCTGGGACATGGGAAAAGATGGGAAATTTTAATTGTATAAGTGAAACTTTAATTGTATAATTAAAAGAGAACAGAAAAAGATAACTATAAACTGACTCACAATATATATGTAAAAAGAATCTGAATAAAATATTAGAAAATAGAACCCAGAAATATATTTCTAAAAATCTGCTATGACCAGGTATTATGTATTGGTTTTCAGGAATGCAAGGGTAGTTCAATACCAAGAAACTAGCTACAAAATTTAGTATATCCATCAACCATATGATCCCATCAATAGACACCGAAAAAGCATTTGAGGAAACTCAGCAATCGGTCCTGCAAAAAAATCTGGAGAAAAGTAATACTAAAAAGAAACTATTAAAAAAGAGATCTCAAATCCCAGCCGCTATTTGTAGGGGAATGGCTCTCCCATGGTGCCCCTACCATGTTGCACATCTCCTTACAGGCCTCCTAGAGGAGGCTTGGCCACAGTCTAAGCTGAGTCCTGGGAATGACTCCTCCTGAAGCAAGGGGAGATTAGGCTGGGGAGGAGTCAGCAAGGGCAGCCCCTGATCCGTGTGAGAATGCCTCCAAGGGTCGCTCATCCATCTCCCCGGTTTCCGTTGAGCACAAAGCTCTTCCTCACCACTCCCCTGTCATGTGGAGCTGCTGGCTTCTGTATAGTCTGTACAAATGCTTGGCCATAGTTTAGAGAGGACTCCTCAATGGCAGAGTGACCCAACACTCAAGCCGACGATCACCAGACCTTTCTGTTTCAGTCGACCTGTGGATTAGGGGCACCAGGACCTGACACTGCACTGGTTGTGGCTTTGCTGTCTGTGTGAGTAATGAACTGTCTTGAATCCTCTTGGCTGCTCTGTCTTCTTGGCAGCCAGGTCTATGGAAGTGAAACCTGCTGACCTCACTGCCACTGCCACGCTCCCTTTAGGGATGACTTGGCCACCTGACACAGATAATATCCAAATCATGAAACACCAAACTAATACAATTAAAACCAGAACTTAGCAAGGGAGGTCCACCATTTTTATTTGATATTGCACTGAGGCTTCAAGCAGATGCAAATGGCCAAGAAAATGAAACACATACTTTAAGCGTTGGAAAAGATATAGCTATTAGTTTTCACAACCCAGATATTGTATTTAAAAATTAGAATTAAAAAGAAAATGTGATAGGATGAGATGATGTCATAAAATTATGCAGAAACCAATGCATTATCTCTTTTCAAATGATAGGCATCTAGAAACGGAAAGGGGAAGAATCAGTCTGTCCACAACAGTGACAAAACCGTGAGCTACTTAGGGAGCAATGGAACAGGACTTGGGAACTGTGTGCCCAGCATCTGCCCACTGCTGCTCGGAGCCATTTCCTGTCCTGCCCGCTCCATACTCCAGGCTCCCTTCCCTTCTGTCTTCCAGTAGATTTGGCCAATGGGCGGTGCTGACCCAAGATTGAAGGGTGGGATGAAAGGACACGTGAGGCCCTTCTCTCCCTCTCTCTGTTCCAGTGGCACCTCCAGCTGCAGCTGGGTCTCCTCGGTGGCTGTGGGCTCCCACCTGAAAGCTCCTTTCTCCATGGTCCCAAATGGGGCTGAGAGTCTCAATATGATAAGAGCATGCTCCACACTGACCCTCCAGGCCCAGCCCTGGGGTAGAAGTGACCTCACCACCATACAAAGTAACCCCTACAACCAGCTCCCTGCATTAAATTCCCTCTGCTTAAAAGATCTAGAGTGATTTCTGGTTTCCAGGTCAGAACCTGACTGATACAATCCCTATGGGATAAAAAAATGATAAAATCTTATTTAAAGACACAAAGCAGACACATTTTTCTGGATAAGAACTTTCAATTTAAAAATGTCAATTCTCTTGAAATTTATCTTTTAGTCAAATGCCATTTCATTAGATTCCCAACAGAGTTTTAGGGGTTTTGGTGTGGTCTTGTTGGGTAGAATTATGTAGACATTTTTATGGGAGGATAAATACTCGTGCAAGATGAGACAACCCTGCCACTGTACACACACTGACAACACGCCACGAGTTGGGTCAGAAAACCAGAAAATGACCTCAGGATAAGCAAGAAGATAAGACCAAGCTTCATTTGTTTCAGGGTAAACAGAAGCATCATTTAATTAATGGACTAGCACACCCAGCTGCCATCTAGAAGAAAATAAAAGTGGATCCACTCCTTCATCTTAATCAAAACTAAATTCTAAGTGGATTAAAGACTTAAATATAAAAGAAAGTAAAAATAAAATAAAAATACTGCAAGAAAATCTGGAAGACCATGCCAGCTAGGGTAAGGATTCCTCATTAAGCAAGACTGAAAACTCAGAAATTCTTAGAAGAAAGTATAAATATGATGGACTATAAAACAATTTAAAACTCATCTATGAATAGATACCTAAAACCAAATCAACAGACAAAGTATAAGTTTAGAAAAACAAAAAGTGGGCCAGATGCAGTGGCTCACGCCTGGAATCCCAGCAATTTGGGAGGCCAAGGCAGGTGGATCACCTGAGGTCAGGAGTTCAAAACCAGCCTGGCCAGCATGGTGAAACCCTGTCTTACTAAAAATACAAAACTAGCTGAGCGTGGTGGCATGTTCCTGTAATCCCAGCTACTTGGGAGGCTGAGGGAGGAGAATCGCTTGAACCCGGGAGGTGGAGGTTGCAGTGAGCTGAGATCAGACCACTGCACTCCAGCCTGGGCAACAAGAGTGAAACTCCATCTCAGAAAAAAAAAAGAAAAAAGAAAAACAAAAACAAAAAGTGATTTATGATGAAAACAACAGTGAGAAAGCTGTTATCTGTAAGATATGAAAAGTGCTTACTAATTGATAGGAGAAAAAAATCCAATAGGAAAAGGGTCAAAACAATACACATTCACAAAAGAGTAAATCCAAATGGCTAACATCATATAAGAAATGTTCAAAACTACCAATAATTGGTGACATGCAAGTTAAAGCCACAAGGAGCTGTCACTTAAAACCCACCTGACCAGCAAATTGAAAGGGCAGCAGGACCGATTGCAGGAGAGGATGCGAAGAAGAGAGAGTGTGCGTCTCTACTGCTGGGAAGTGGACAATCGGCAGCATTTTTGGAAAGTTATCTAGAAATGTCAGTTCAAAGAAACACCATCCATGCTTTTTAACCTCCAAATCCCAATCTGTAGTATCTGTTTGGGCAGCCACAGCACAGCAGCACACATGGTGCCCTTCACGGGAAGAAAAGGGATTCTCACACTCTCGGCGGCTGAAGGTCCGAGGTCAAGGTGGTGGCAGGGCTGCTTTCTCCTGGGCCTCCCTCCTGGGCATGTGGCGTGGTCTTTTCCCTGGGTCCTCACATGGTTGTTCGTGTGTGTGTGTGTGTGTGTGTGTGTGTGCGCGCGCACGCACATGTGTCCTAATTTCCTGTTCTTATAAGGAAACTAGTCATTAGGGTCCACCCTAATGAGCTCATTTTAATTTATTACCTCCTTAGAGACCCCATCTCCAAACTCAGGCACATTTTGCTTACCGGAGTTGGGGCTTTACCGTAGGAAACTGGAGGAACCCAGCTCAGCCCCTTCCGGAGTCCTTGCTCTTGTTTCCGTAGAAATGAAGGCACTAGTCTGCCAAGATGTAAGAACAAGGATGTTTCTACCCACAGCGTTGTTTGTAGAATCAGGAAAAATAACCCTAAAACTGAAAACAAGGGGATCCCCAGAGATGCAGTAAGGAAGGTCGGCTCAGCCGCGGAACAGGAGACCATGATGCTAAGGTGGCCGGCGGGGTTTCCCAAAAGGCCCACAGGGGCCATGCCATGATCTTGGGCTTGCAGCCTCCAGAGCTGTGAGGAATAAATGTCCGTCACTCATAAACCCCGCGTGTGTGGCACACAGTCACAGCAGCCCCGAGGAACTAAGAGAGGGCTCACAGCAAGGGCTCAAGCTCTGGGCTCTGGAGGCACACACTGTGTGACCTCAGTCAGGTACGTGACCTCTCTGGGCTCTGGAGGCACACGCTGTGTGACCTCAGGCAGGTACGTGACATCTCTGTGCCTGGTTTTCTCAGATGTGAAGTGGTGGTGGGAATCACTACCTAATAGGGTTGTTGTGAAGACGGGTGTGGGAGGCCCCCAGCACCTGCACAGGGGACAGGCCGGAAAGGCAGTGGGGGGTCAGTCCAAGCAACAGTCAGGGCTGAGCGGCCACCCCTGGCTGTGGGAACCACAGGGCTGGAACTCTGCCTCTGGTGACTGTGTGACCCTGGGTGGGTCTCCCTGGCCCCGGCTGCAAGAAGGCCGCAGCATGCCCCCCTACCCCGCACCCGGGTTTCCTGGTGAGGGCACAGGAAGGGGCTTCCTGGCCGTGGATGACATCAGAAGGGGCTGTGAGAGCAGCTGGGGCAGGGAGGATGCCAAAAGCAGCCTGACCCCCCATGGGGCCTTCCCCAGGCCTCTCCCACCCGAGGATTGGAGATACGCCCTCTCCACCCAGCTAGCTCCCACCCACCTCTCCCAGGACCTGGGAATAGGAAAGCTGTCAGTCCAAACACGCCTGGGCACCCAGGCACAGAACCCGACCAGTGTCGGTGGCTGGGGGCAAGCCGAGGCCCAGCCCTCCTCTCTGGCGTTGGGCACGTCTGGAAGCCGTTTCAGCATTCATCAGCCCGTGGACTTCCCCCTCGGTGGCTTTGCAGGTAACTATCTCTAGGTTGATTTGTGTTCTCTGCCTCTGCGGAGAGCCTGGGGTCTGAGGCGACTCTCAGACTGTCAGGCAAACGATGCTACCGGAGGTGTCAACCCCTCTCCCAGTGATGAGAGTCACACGCCTGGTCAGTGGCCACCCTGGAGTCGGGCCCGGCCCTGCCTTTTCTGCAAAGCGTGGACAAACCTCAGAAAGCCTGGAGACAGAGGAGCTGCTTCCTGCACTCAGGGACCTGGGGCTCCAGGGAGCCAGGGACAGAGGAGGGGATGAGAGAGGAACTGGCGTTAGTGGATCCAAGAGAGAACAGGGCCCCTGGCTCCATGCCTTCCAGCGAGGTCAAGACGGTCCCCTCACACACAGCTTGTGCCTCCAGAGCCCGGAGTTTGAGCCCTTGCTGTGAGCCCTCTCTTAGCCCCTTATTCAAGTCCACAAAACTCCTAGGAGCTACACGTCAGCAGCAAAAAGACAAACAACCCAGCCAGGCACTGGGCATAAGAGTTGCAAAGACATTTCTCTGAAGAAGACCTACAAATGGCCAGCAAGCACATGAAAAGATTCAACACCATTAGTCACTAGAGAACCCACCAAAACCACAGCAACGCCACTTCTCACCCCTCAGGATGGTGAAGAGGAGGAGAAGGGGAAGGAGGAGAAGGAGGGAAGAAAGGAGAGAGGGAGGGAGAGAAGAAAGGAAAGAAGGAAGGAAGAGGGGAAGGAAGGAGGGAGGGAGGGAAACAGGGAGGGGGAGAAGAAGGGAGAGAGGCTGGGAAGGAAGAGAGGAGGAAGAGAGGGAGGGAGGAGGGAAGGAGGGGTGGAAGGAGGGAGGGAGGAGGGAAAGAAGGAAGGAGGGAGGGAGAGAAGGAAGGAAGCAAGGAAGGAAGGAAGAAGGAGGGAGGGAGGGAAGAAGGAAGGAGAAAGGGCAGGAAGGAAGGAGGGCAGGAGGGTGGGAAGGAAAGAGGGAGGGAGGGAAGGAGGGAGGGAGGGCATGAAGGAAGGAAGGAGGGAGGGAGGAGGCAAGGAAGGTAGGAAGAAGGGAAGGAGGGATGGAAGGAGGGAAGGAGGGATGGAAAGAGGGAGGGAGGGAAGAGGGAAAGAAGGAAAGAGGGAGGGAAGGAAAGAAGGAAGGAAGGAAAGAAAGAAGGAAGGAGGGAAGGAAGGAAGCAAGCAGGGAGAGAGAGAGGGAGGGATGGAAGGAGGGAAGGAAGGAAGGAAGGAAGGAAGGAAGGAAGGAAGGAAGGAAGGAAGGAGGGAGGGAGGGAGGGAGGAAAGGAAGGAAGGAAGGGTCACAGGAGGGACTCCAAGGCCCTGGACTCCCATTAGGGCTGCTGGGCCCGCAGGCTGTGCTGGAAATGCAGGTGACACAAGCATGGGATCCCGGAGGCAGAAGATGGCCACAGCCCCAGCTGCTCTCTGAAAATAGCGAGTGTTGGCGAGGACATGGAGGAACTGGAGCCTCACCTGCTGCTGGTGGGAATATAGAAGGGTGCAGCCACCGGGCGGAACCCGGCAGGAACCTGGGAGGCCCTCAGTGTGATTTGGCAACCAGCAGAGCGAGGCACTGACCACACGCTAACAGGGGCCAAGCACACACTGCGCTGGGTGAAGGCAGCCAGTCACAAATGCCACATAGCAAATGGTCCTGAACAAGCAAACAGAACAGGCCCAGAACAGGCAAACCTGTTGAAGACAGAAAGTAGCTTCGTGGTCGCCGGGGGCTGGGGGTGGGGTGGATGGGAAGTGGCCGCGATGGATATGGGGGTTTCTTTTGTGGGTGGTGACAAGGTTCTAACATCAGATGATGGTAATGGTTTGATGGTGAAGCTCTGCAGATATACTAAAAACCTTTGAATTCTGCATTGACCAAAAGCCTGGGAGGTATGAAACAGTAGAATCAACATCTTACAGAGGAGGAAACTGAGGCTGAGGCACTTTAAATGAAAGTTTTCTTACCGCTGTGCCCGATGCCTTGAAAAGGCGGCTAAGACTTCTCATGGGAACTGTCTCCTCAACAGGCCTTGGCTGGCCCCTCTGCAGCCCTTCCCCAGGGAACCCTCCCTGCCAGAGCCCGCCCTGACCACCTGCTCACAGCCCGTGCCTCACCAGGAGCAGGTCTGGGGACAGTAGTGGGTGGCTGCATATCCAGCTGCCACAGCTCTGACTCCTGCAGCCTTCTCCTGTGAAGGGGAGGGAGGTGGTGCTGCAGGGGAGGGGAGGGGGCTAGGAGATGTCACTGGCAGCGGAAACGGCCGCAGCCCCAGCTGCTCTCTCGGGAGTGCAGAGGGGCTGAGCCCCCACACCAATGGCCCTGCCCTCCTGGCCTAGAGCACAGGGTCTCTCTAGCGTAGGATTGGAGGGACTCCAAGGCCCCAGGCTCCTGTCAGGGGCTCCTGGGCGGCAGATTGTGCTGGAAGATGCAGGTAGGGACAGGCCTGGGGACCCTGGAACAAGGCAGGTCCTGCCTTTCTGCATGAGCCCCAGGACAGCCATGGCCCCTGCCTGTGAACCTCCTGCCTGCTCTTGGTTAAAAAGCCCCATGTCATGGAGGCGGCAGCCTTTTCAGGCTTTGGGGTCCCCCCAGACAGAAAGAAACCCCTGAGGCATGGTGCCAGAATCACCCCAGACATTCTCTTTCAGATTTTTTCAACTTTATGTTCACTTACATTTAGGCAAATGGGAAAAGGTTGGAGGTGCCCAGCCTGCCCAGCCTGCCCAGCCTGCCCAGCCTGCCCAGCCTGCGTGGTTTTGCGGTGGTCCCACACTGAATCACCTGTCAGAGGGCTGTCCATGGTCCCTCGGGCCTGGGGTCTTACATCCCCTTGTCAGGACTGCAGGCCTGGCACTGCTGTGTGGCTCAGGGGTGCCGCCGTCCCGCACTGATGAAGGGCTGACCGCGCCTGACGCCATTAATTGAGCTTCCTCCGAGTGGGACGAGCGAGCGATCTCATTTCTAGGATGATCAAATCCTGCCAGGGCTTGAGCAAAGCTACTCAATCATGGGACTGGAAGGAGGGAGCCCCGTGCGGCTGGCACTTCATTCCCGCAGAGAAGATTGTTCCCGAGAGGCCCCAGGCCCAGCTGTGGAAATAAACACAGCCACACTCCATTCCCCCGGAGATGACATGGACTCCCCGGATGTCCCGCTGTCCGCCTAGTGCTCAAGTTCATGAGTGTCTCTCCCCCGGCTCGCCCCGCGAGCCTCTGCCCTGGGTGCCCTCTGGAGCTGACAGGGCCACAGCCAAGGCACCATCCCTTCATCCTGGCTGGAGTGGAACCTCTTTGCACCCTGGGCAGCACTTCTCAGAGGGCCAGGGACTGCTGCGTGGACTACTGTCCCACACAGGGCAAAGAGTGCTCCATGTTGGTGATGCTGATGTGGGGGGCGGTAGCCAAGGATCTGCCAGCTTGCCTGCCTTGGGATGTTCTGGGTTCTCAACTAGACACTGCCTGGACTTGTGGAGTGGCCCCAGGCCCCCACCCACGCTGCCTGGGCCCTGCCAGCTGGGGCTTCCAGTCTGCCGGTGCGTCCTCCCTGGCCCCTGGAGCTAGGGTCTCGTGGGTCAGCCATGGGAGGCAAGAGGGCTCCGTGAGATGCTACTTCTCACCCCTCAGGATGGCAAAAACTCAGCCCTGAGGGAGGCTATGTCCGGATACCACATTTAGGGCACTGGCGCGTGACAGGTGCGGCAGTGGGTAGAGCCGCCCCTCAGTGGCCTGGACCCAGAGCAGGACCCAGGCCCAGCAGGAATCAGAGAAACGTGAGTGCCAGGCGGGAGGCCCAGGGGCTGGGAGGGGCCAGGGTGCTCCAAACCTGGCATCTACCCATTCCAGGCTTCTAAGATCTGCGGCCAGGCCCAAGAACAGGCAGAGAGGAGGCCCCTGTGGGGTCGCTGCACCAGAGGGAGCCGGGTGATCTGCCAGCAGCCGAGGCTCACAGGAGCAGGACCTCCCGGGCAGCGCAGGGGCCGCGCAGGGGAGAAGACCTCTTCAGCAACAAGCTTTTCAGAATTCCTCCTCCCTAGGGGCCCGGGGCCTTCCTCTGCCTCCGAGTAGTTCTCAGGCCAGTCCCTGAGACAAGACAGGCTGGAGGGAGGCATGCTGAGCAGGCGGGCACCCCGTGTGGGACCCTCCTCGAGAATCGCCTGAGCAGCGTCTGGAGAAGGTGGAGGGTGGGAAGTTCCCATGGAGTGGACCATCGGGTCCCATCTTGCTCCCCTCCTGCCCCCCGAGGCCCCCTGCCGATCTCCCCAACCCGCCTGCCTCTCGCCCATAAGGTAGGTCTATAGCCACTCAGTCAGCTGGGGGCCGGGGTGTGAGACCTGGGTCCTCCTGGGGCCACCAGTGACTTGAAGGGTGGCCTCAGGCGGGGCGGTTGACCCCTCCCTAGTCTGAGTTGTGGCTTCTAGGAGACCAGAAGCCCCTGGGGTCCCCCAGGTGTTAAAGTCCGGGAGGAGAGACTCCGCCTAGCCCCTCATGTGGGACATCCTGAAGTCGAGGCCCAGCCCAGAAGCCTTCCTGTGGGTTTGGAGTCACTGCTGGAGGACAGTCGCCCCTGCAGGGAGCGGTCCAGCAGAGGTGGGGCCTCTCTGGGGCAGTGGCCTGAGAGGCTGGGCCACCCAGGGCCACCACCCGGGAGCCCCAGGACCTTAGGCATGTCCAGCTCGTCTTGCAGAAACATCTCTGACTGACGTGGTGAGTCTGGCTGCAGAATTCCCATCCGTCTCCATGCTCCTTTGAGAGTGCACAGCAGAACTCCTGCCCCCGCAGCCTCGCGGGTCCCTCCTGACTGTAGACAAGGCGGGCTCCTCCTCCCTGACCACCAGGTGCTCCTGGGACCCGGGTTTAGCAAGCTTCTGCATGAGACGTGTTTCATGATCACTCCGTGCCGTAATTAGATATTAAAAATCTCACTGTGCCTTCATAAAATAACATGGAACGAATAATAAAATATCATAGTTAGAAAGTCATCAAAATGTAATAAAATGGTGTTATTACAAAGGCTTAAATTTTAACGATGGTTTTTTAGTATGTCACTTACTGTGTAATTAAAGTTACAAAATAACATCGAGTAATTAAATGGAGACTTGGGGCTTTGCAGGGGGCTGGGGCTGGGGGCCTCCCGACTCTACCCAGAGTGAGCACTGGAGGGGGAGCAGCCAGCCTCCTCGTGGCGGGCCTCAGTTGGGGACGTGGCCAGTAGTGGACTGACCTTCTGCTGTCCTGGAGATGAGGGACTCGGGAGGACGAGGGCCTAGGGCTTGTAGCCACCCCCCGTATCTCAGTACACAGGGCGTACCTCTGACTTTCAGTGCCCACAGCTTTTTGCCAAATGCCCTGGGACCTCCTGCTGTCTCTGCCACAGGACAGAAGTGCCAGGAAGTTAGCCCCCTCGGGAGTTGGCCTGGAATAGGGAGCCCTGGGATGTGCAGCTGGATGTCCCAGCTCCCGAGCTCTCAGGCGGACCCCCTCCCCCAGGGAGCCCTTCGTGGCTGCCCTCCCTCCTTGTCTCACTTCTCTCAAGCAAGCCCCTCACCTGACCCATGGTCCCCAAGGACCCAGGGTGCTCAGTGGACACCCAGGGAGTCTGCTGTGTGCCAGCCATGCTGGATGCAGGGCCCACAGGGGACCAGTGTTCAGGCAGACTATGGGCAGGGTGTGCTGAGAGAAGGAGGTGATGACCTATGGGTTGCCTCCATCCTGCCCAGGAAGAGTGACCTGGCAGGAGGAACAGTAGCAGAGCTCGGAGTAGCCAGCTCGGGAAGGACAAGTCATTCTAGGAGGACAGAGGCAGGGGTTCCTGAATTAAATGACAGCCAGGTCACTTCACACTGAGGAAAGCTATCCTGTGCACAGATTGAAACTGAGACCTCCTAATTAACTAAGGGCGGGCCCTGGTCTCAGGCTGAGCCTGAATCCTGAGGTCAGACAGAGCCTGAATCCTGTTCCCAGACTGAACACTGGTATCACTCAGACTGAGTCCAAATCCTGATCTCAGACTGAGCCTGAATCCTGATTTCAGACTAAGCCCTAAAAATTCTGCCTCAGATTGAGCTCTGACCCTGGTCTCACACTGAGCCTGAATACTGATCTCAAACTGAGTCTGAATCTTTATCTCAGACTAAGCCTGAATCCTGATTTTAGACTAAGCCTGTATTAGTCCATTTTCACACTGCTATAAAGAACTTCCCTGAGACTGGGTAATTTATAAAGGAAAGAGGTTTAATTGACTCACAGGTCCACATGGCTTGTGGGGAGCGCTCAGGAAACCTACGATGATGGAGGAGGGCGAAGGGGAAGCAAGTGCCTTCTTCACAAGGTGGCAGGAGAGAGAAGAGCGAAGGAGGAACTTCCAGACACTTATAAAAGCATCAGATCTCATGAGAACTCACTCACTATCATAAGAACAGCGTGGGGGAACCGCCCCATGATTCAATCACCTCCCTCCCTCAACACATGGGGATTACAATTCGAGATGAGATTTGGGTGGGGACACAGAGCGAAACCATATCAAAACCCAAATCCTGATCTCAGAGTGAGCCCAATACTGATTTCAGACTGAGCCCTGAATCCTGATCTCATACTAAGCCTGAATCTTGATCTCAGGCTGAGCTATAAATCCTTGTCTCAGACTGAACCCTGGCTGTGCTACATTTCCAGACCTTTCTCACCCCCATTTTTGTTGCCACCTGAGGTCCCCTGGGAGCTTCATTCTGGGCTGGCAGATGCCCTAATGTTCTAGAACAGGAGCTCTGGAGTACCTGTTCACTTTCCAGTCCCCTTTTCCCATGTCCCCTCCCAGTTGTCCTCTTGCAGCCTGAAGAAGTCTCATGGTTCTAGACTGCAGACTTCTGCTGGGGCAGCTTGTTTACCTAGAAGAGGTGGCCAGAGCCCAGGTGACCAGGGAAGGAGTTCCCTGCAGTGTAACTCCACCTGGGGACTGATCACTCACCATTGCCTGCCACCTGGGGAGGAAAGGCTCACCTCCACTTCCTTCTCAGATGGCCCCACCCTTGCATCCTCTGGTTGCCATAAAATTCTTTTGCACAGGAGGTTCCTGCTTAGCCCTGTGTCACCTCTGGGACAAGCCTGCAGGCCTGCCCAGTGCTGTGGCTCTGCCCAGGACAGCAAGGTGAGTTCAGAAGCAGAGGTTGGGCACTCTCAGACTCCCAGGGGCCAGGTATAGCAGCCCTGGCTCAGGCAGCTGCTGTGACCGACTGGGATCCCAGGCCGCTTTCCACCTCTTTCCTTCCTGGGAAGCACTGCCAGTCCTTGTCCTTCCAACTGACCAGGACAGGAGGTCAGAGGGGAGGTCATCCCCACAGACAGGGCTCCCAGGACGGCACCTGCAAAGCTGCCCTCTGTGGTCCCGAGAGCCAGTGCCTGGCACGGCCGCCCGCTTCAGACTGTGGCTGTGGGCAAGTGTGTACTCTCCAGGAAGAAGGGGCCTGTTGCCTCACTGTTGATCATCCTTAAAAAAGAAACTAGAGACACCCCGGGTGCCTCTCTGCGGCCCCATAAATCTGGAGAGGAGGGAGCTGCACCGAGCGAGCTTAGGCTTTTGAATTTTAAATGGCCAATTTGGTCAATGAATCAATTTCACTGGGCTGAGGCAGCGTGGAGATGAAAGCGGTTTTAAGACCTATTGAAGGCGGTGAGAGCCTCTTTGTCCATGCTTTTCTCAGGCTGCCGCCCTCTAATATTTCATCTATATTCATTTTTATGGCTTTCCAAATTATAGATGTCAGCTAAAAAAACTGAAAAAAAGAGAGGGTGAAGAAAGGAGGGGGAAATTCACTGCTGTTGAATAGAAAGGCGAAGTTATCCCTCCCAAAGCCAGCCAGTGTGCTGGGACGTGACCCAGAACTCACAGCCGGTCCTTCCATATCTGGGCCTCATTCCTGCATCTGGTCTGTGACCCAAGGCTGAGCCTTTGCTGCCCATGGGGCAAAGGATGAGGCAGACAGTTCTCCCTCCAGTGGGGAGCTCATGTTCTAGTGGGAGAAGGAGAGAGACCTCCTAAAAGTGAGCAGAACAAAGACCCTGGTACTCAGGGCAACACAGAGTGGGTGAGGCAGGGCTGTGGAGGAGGGAGTTGAGAGCAGGGTAGGAATGACCTGCCCTTGTGCAAGCATTTTCTTTCCAATTTCCACCATGCTCAAACTGTAACCTGAGGTTATGATGCCCATTCCTGGGAATTCATGTTCTACTGATCTGGAATAATTCTGACCTAACTGGCTAAAAATTAATGTGTACATTATCTTTGATAAAGGGCTTGCTCTGCAATTTGTAGTATAAAGGGATCACAAGGTAAATACTTTAAACCAGGGCTCAGCAAACTTTTTCTGCAATAGGCTGGCTAGTAAATATTTCAGCCTTGGTGCACCATGCAATCTGTTGCAACTACTAAACTCTGATGTTGTTACGTGAAAGCCGTCATAGACAGCAATACGGTTTGGCTGTGTCCCCACCCACATCTCAAATGTTAGCTCCCATAATTCTCACATGTTGTGGAAGGGACCTGGTGGGAGGCCATTGAACCATGAGGGCAGGTCTATCCAGTGCTGGTCTCATGATAGTGAGTAAGTCTCACAAGATATGATGGTTTTACAAATGGGAGCTCCCCTGCACATGCTTTCTCTCTTGTCTTCTGCCATGTAAGACAGAACTTTGCTTCTCCTTCACCTTCCCCCATTATTGTGAGGCCTCCCTAGCCATGTGGAACTGTGAGTCCATTAAACCTCTTTTTCTTTATAAATTACCCAGTTTCAGGTATGTCTTTATTAGTAGCATGAAAATGGACTAATACAGACAGTACGTAAACAAGTGAGTGTGGCTGCATTCCAGTAAAACTTTATTTATAAAAATGGGCAACAAGCTGGATTTGGCCCATAGGCCACAGTTTACCAACCCCTGCTTTTAAATACCAAAGTGAATTCACTGGTTTTTCTGCAGTGTACTGTCCCATCCAGTGAACTTTTCACTTCAGAGATTGGCACAATTTGCCACTTCTAGAAATTCCACTTGGAATTTCTGTGTCCCCTATTTCTCTCCTCGCTCTGTTCATGTTTTCCTTTAAGTCCTTGAGTATATGGAACATATTTATAACAAGTGTTTTAACATCCTGGTTTGCCTTTTCCATCACCTCTGTCAGTTCTGGGCCTATCTCTATTATTAATAACTAATTTTTTCCTGTCGATAGGCCCTACTTTCCTACTTGTTTGTCTAGTGATTTTTGATTGGATGCTGGACATTGTGTTGAATACTGTACATTGTTGAGTTCTGAATTCACTTACATGCCTTTAAAGAGTGTTGGGCTCCATTCTGGCAGGCAGTTAAGTCACCTGGAGAGAAGTTTGATGCTTTTGAGGGTGAGTCTAGAGTCACCTTTCCTCTTGGGTGAGTTAAGCCCCACTACTAAAGCAAAACTCTTCTGAGTCTCTAGTGAATGCCCATGTCTTCAATAACTTCTCTCCATTCTGGCTGGTGGAAACTTAGATGGTTCTAAGCCATTCACCTTGCAGCTCTCTGATAATTGTTATTTCTTCAGCATTGCCCTTGAAGTTTCACGCCTTGCGTGGGACAATTGACATTCAGGCACAGACCTATGGGAACCCCTATGCAGAATTCTGGCACTCTTTTTCTGCCTATTTCCCTCTTCTCTGGTATTCTGCCAGCAAATTCTAGCCATCTCAGCCTCCCAAAATTCTGATCTCTATCTCCTCAATCCAATGAGACCACCAGGCTCTGTGTGGATCCCTCCTCTCATAAGAAGACAAAGAGCTGTCAGCCTTAAGGAAGGACGGAGAACTGAAAAAATGTCCAGCCATCCTAAAGGAATCTCCAAATCAGTACCAAGGAAGCAGGTCCACCACACCTTGACTAAGGCCTTCCTTCCCCATCACAGCCCATTACTCCATAATCCAGTCCTCAGCATAGCAGCCCTCCTGGACATTGTCTCCACACAGAAAGTCCAGGCCTCAGAGGGGTCACTTTATTTGTTTCCCTCTGAATGGGTGTCTCAGTTCTGCACTTGCTGTGGTTTGAATGTTTTCCCCCCAACCTCATATTGAAATTGGATTCCCAGGGTTGGAGGTGGGGCCTAATGGAAGGTGGCTGGGTGGTGGAGGTGGACCCCTCATGCATAGATCATGCCCTCCCTCAGGGAGGAGCGAGCTCTTGCTGTTAGTTCTCATGAGAGGGGCTTGTTGAAAAGGGCCTGGCACCTCCCCCATCTTGCTTCTTCTCTTGCCATGTGGTCTCTGCACACACCAGCTTCCCTTCACCTTCCCCTGTGAGTGGGGAAGGTGGCACAGCCTGAGGTCCTCACCAGAAGTTGAGCAGATGCTGGCACCATGCTTCTGTCCAGCCTGCAGAACCATGAGGCAATAAAGCTCTTTTTCTTATAAATTACCGAGCAGTAGGTATTCCTTTATAGCAACAAAAATGGACTAAGACAGCGCTCACTCTCCAATGTCTGAGAACAGTCGTTTCATACTTTTTTGCCCAGTTTTCTAGTTGCTTAACTCAGAAGAGTGAGTCTGGAAGCTGTAGTAGGAGACTCTGCCCATGGATCTTAAATAATATAAAAGTACTCATTTCTATCTAACCCACTTTACCACTTTAATATAACTGTGGTGAGTTGGCAGCATCACAGACTTTAGGTTGGACGGAGCTTAGAAACCACGTGGTGCTAGCCTTTCACATTGCAGACAGAGAAAGGGAAGCCCAGGGAGTGGTGGGGCATGGCCGTTTAGCAGCTGGTGGCAAGCAGGCTGATACAAGACTTGTCTATCCCTGCACCACCCTCAGCTACTGCCCACCCATGTCCTCCTGCAGCCTGGGCACCCAGGTAACAGCTCTGAACTCCGTGTTTACAACCCCCATGCCGACACACATGCACACTGCTGCATAAGCATCAATTTCCTACCAAGTTGGTCCATGGGCCAGCGGGCTGCACCTAGAGGAGATCTGTCCACACCAGCCCGCCTGAAAACAACCGAGCCACAGTGCTGGGCCCAGAACCCAGTACAGCCCCCTTTCCTCTCAGGCCATCCCAGCCTACCAGAGGAGTCTAGTAATGCCAGCCCTCCAAAGCAAGGTTCCTCAGCAAACCACACCCCGCCCACACCACAGAGCCCTCAGGCCACAGCATAACACACATAACACAGCTTCTCATTCATTTAGGGGCTAAATGTCAGCAACTGCAGGCACAGGTCTCTGCTGAGGCCAAGGTATTAGACCTGCTGGGGAGAGGGAGGAGCAGTTATCAGCCTGCCCTGAGCTGGAGGTGGGTGTGCCTCAGACCTCGTGCCAGCCTGGGTCCTGCCACCCTCTAGGTGTCACCGGCCCCCTGGGCCCCCACACAGAGAGTGAGACTCATTCAGCAGGAAGGGCTGAGAAAGCTGGGAGGGGTGGCCGGCAGCTGGCACAGCACAGGCTTCTCCATGCACGCATTACCTCCCAGGGTTGCCTGACTGACTGTTGAGAGTCAGGCTTCATCCTGGTGCTGCAGGTGCCCTGGAGACATGAGCTGCTAAGGTGAGGCTGCCACAGAGGAGGGCGGCTCCCCATCCCTTTGCTTGGGACTGAGGGGTTTCCCAGGGCATGGGACTTTGAATGCCAATGCCGGGAAGGCCCCAGGCAGACTGGATGAGTTGGTCACGCCACCCTAGTGTAATAGCTGATAGGCTGACATCTCAAAGATTCACATCCTGGTGGCTGGGGCCTGTGAATGTGTGACTTCACATGGCCCCTGCCGGTGTGATTAAGTCAAGGACTGGAGCTAGGGAGTGGCTCTTGGATGGGGTGGACCCTGCATGCAATCACGGGAATCCTTTTAAGAGGAAGCAGGGGCAGATTTGGCAACGCAGAGGAGGAGACCGCGCAGACAGAGGCAGAGATGGAGGGGTGCAGCCACACCAGGGCCACCTGGAGCCCCCGAAGCCTGGAGAGACAGGGACGAGATTCTCCCTTTGAGCCTCCAGAGGGAACCAGCCTTGCTGACATCTAGATTTTAAAGCCATGAGACTTGTTCTGAATTCCTGGCCTCTGGAAATGTGAGATAATAAAGTAACGTTTTCTAATAAGGCCAGACCTCCAAAGCAAGGCTCCTCAGCAAACCACACGCCACCCACACCACACAGCCCCTCAGTCTGCGGATTCACAACACAACCCAGGAGATAGGACCCGGGAGACGCCGGCCCCCGCCTGCAGCCAGGCTGAGCTTGACGGCCACAATAGGGGCAGCCATAGCAGAGGGCTGCCTCAGAAGTTCTGCTTCACCACCGGGGAAAGTGCCAGGAGGCCTGGCACGTCCCGGGATAGTGAAGACGGGTAGCCACTGGGCCACCTGGAAGGTGACTGCGGCACCTGCACCCCCCGCATGGTTGCTCCCCACCCCCAGAGCTGCTGCAGGCACACCTGGCGCCTGCTCCAGCCAGCCTTGGCATCTTCCTCTCTGTTCCTCCCTCCGGGCAGGGCAACTGGGCAGGCTGGACACCCAGCAGGGGAGCTGTCCACATCAAGAGCTCCCCTTCTACTACCATTTCTGGGCCACGTCCTCCGCCCTCAAAACAGCAAACCCGTCTCCAGTGCCAGACTCGGGGCTGCACATGACCAGGGCAGGAGTAACTGAACTCGCAGAGGACAAAAAGAAGAAAGAGGAAGGGAATCCCTTCAGCGCCACAGCTGAGCTGTGTTTGCTGTAGTTTCTCCAATTTCTTTGTGAAAATGTAATCGCGGTCCCGGAGCACGTGGGACCCTCTGCACACTGACAGTGGGAGGGAGACTCACTGCAGGGGCTGCCGAGAGCCCCCGCCTGGGGTCCTTGACCTGCTGGGCTGGGGGGCTGGGGAGAGTCTGTGGGTGCAGAGAGCTGAGTCTCTGGGGCTGGGGCCCCTCCTCCTCCATGTCTTTCAGACAAGGTGTCAGGGCCCCACCTGGGACCACACTGACCTATCATAGCCAAGGTGACCTTGGCTGGCTGGCCCCTGAGTGAGGCTGGGGAAGGAGGCAGGAAGCAACAGGCCTGGATTTGGGATGACTGCCCCGCTGGGACCTCCTAGAAGGTGTCACCCTGAGGGGCCAAGAGGGAGGTGAGCCTCAGAGCTGAGGTCCACCTGCAGCCTTTGCCTGACCTTTGGTTCTGGGGGCAGCTTGGGGACCCCCACCTGCCACTGTCAGCCTTTCCACCTGCAGGGTCAGGCAACTTAAAACCTGAGGACATCACAAAGCAGGAAATGAGTTCCTAAATAGAAACCCACTGGGGTCTCCCACCTACTACCACCCCTCCTCCTCTCCTGCCTCCCTGCTCCTCCTGGCATGTTGGCTCCCCCAGCAACGCCGCCCTCCTCTCAGACACACACTCCCTACCTGCCTGCACCCTTACCCCACCCAGCCTCCTCTGGCCTCCCTGGCCCCCAAGTTCAGCCTCCTCGTTCCCTGTCCCTGCTCTGTCCCACCCAAGGAGCAGTGTGCAGCCCCTCCCCTGCACCCCTCCCTGGCGACCTCACCCCACATCTTGGCGCCAGGCACCTCCAGACACTCTCCCCACTTGTCTGCCATTAAGGAGACCTCTTGTCCTAGAAGCTTCCAGCAAGGCAACCACCACATTGCAGACCCCCTTCCTCCTGCCCCCTGCCCCAGGCCCAGGTTTGGAGCAGCTGCCCATCGCAGAGCAGCCACCGTGGGGTGTCAGCTGGCCGGGGTCACCTTCTCAGTGTTTGGCCATTTCCTCACTGGCAGGACCCTGAAGCTTCATCCAAAGCAAGAGGAGAAGACAGGTAAGGACTGCAAGCCACACTGGGCGCTTGGATCTGGAAGAGAAGGGCAGAGACTTGGCTGGCTGAGGGTGAACCTCTCCTCCACCGTGGGCAGCCCAGGCCCTGCCTGGAGAACAAGCAGAGGGGGAGATTCTCCCTCAGGAGAGAGCGGAGGGGGAGATTGCCCCCAGGTTGCCATGGGGCTGGGATAGAAGATTCTGTGACCAGGAAATGGCCCAGCCTGCTGCTCCACCTGGCTGCAGCCACCCCTTTCTCCAAGACCAGACTTATGGGTCTGTCTCCCTGCTGCCTCCCTCTGCCGTTCTGCAGCTCTGGGGAGCTCTGTAACTGGGGGGCCCAATTCTGCCATTCTGCAGCTCTGCAACTGGGGGGCCTGGGTCGGTGGGGAGGTGGAAGTTGCCCCTGCAGAGAGTGTGTTCTCTTTTCGGGGAGACCTGGGCCTCCTGGTGCTGGAGGGGCTCCCAGCTGTGAGTAGGCAGGCCCCATGTAGCAAGGAGACAGCTCGCCATGTGGACTCCCTTGGGTTTGGTGATTGGTCACTGCCCACTGGCGTGCACTCAGTGCGTTCCTGGGCCCACCCAGGCTTCTTGATCTCTTGTGATGTTTGTAATCTGGCATTTGGGAGAGAGTGAGGTAAAGGCAATTTTGCAACTGCAATAAAACCAGCAAAGTGATCCTCTGATGGTTCTTAATGAGATCCGTCTATCTCCCCTGACTGAGCCGGCAGACTGCAACCCCATGTGTGAGGTCAAAATGAATGTCACATGGTCCCCCACAGAACCAGAGAAGCCATCACCATGGTGCCTGGCCTAATCTGCTCCAGCATCCGACAGGAGTGATCAGAAGATACTCACAGGAAATTGTTTTTCCTGCCTCGTAACCATAACAACAGATGAGAGCTGGTCTTGCTCAACTTTCCGAGTGAGCATCTTTGTCAACATGTAGCCAAACCCAGGACACAAAAGCAGAGACCAGGGCTGGCAAAAGGGCACTTTGGAGATATCAGGGTTTGGGGCTCCTGTGAGGTCTGGATTCTCCCCTCTCCTGCCCCACCCGACAGGGATGGCTTAGAACGTTCCTGAGTGTGGACTAGAAGGTGGGTGGAAGGACAATGGGCCCCCTGGAAGTGTGCATACCTGGCATCACAGTGAGCTGTGGCTGCTGCCTGGGCAGAAGCTGAGAGGCTGCCTTGCTGCCCAGAGTCCCCACAGGCCTGCAGGTGGGCACCAGTCCTTGCTTCCCAGATTACAGTCAAATGCTCTGCCCATATCATTCCCTAACTCTGACAGCACCAGGTCCAGATCTATCCCCTAAACTGCAACAGTATTGCTGAGAGAAATTAAAGAAGAGCTGAATGAATGGAGAAGTATACCAAGTTCATGGATGGGCAGACTCTCTATGGCTAGGATGTTGTTCAGCCACCCCAAAATGATCAGTAGACCGAATGTGATCTTCATAATAATTCCAATGAGCTTTTTGACGGAAATTGATTGATTGATTCTAAAATGCATTTGCAAGTGCAAAGACCTGGAAAAGAAACATGATCCTGGATAAAGAGCACCGTTGGACTAATACGATCTGATTTCAGGATGCTGCAAAGCCCAGTAATCAGGGCAGTGAGATACTGGCGAAGAAATAGACACTTAGATAATGGAAGAAAATGTAGAGACAAGAACTAGACCCATAAATACATTTCCCATCGATTTTTAGCAAAGGCTGCAAGGAAATTCAATAAAGAAAGAAAGTCTCTTTGACAAATGATGTTGGAGCAACTGGATACATTTATGGGGGAAATAAACCCCAACCCCTTCCTCACACCATACATGAAAATTAATTTAAGATAAACCACAGATCTAAATCTAAAATATGGACCAGGAAATACCTAGAACACACAGGAGAAAATCTGCAACATTGAGGTAAACAAAGACTCTTTAGAGAGGACACAAAAGGCTCTGGCCAATAAAGAAAAAACAACAAGCAGAAATTAATCAACATTTAAAATTTCAGGTCATCAAGACATTGTCAAAAAACAAAAAGGTATTTCATAAAATTAGGGAAAAAAATATATGTGTGTGTATATATATGTGTATATATACACACACATATATTTTCTCTAACTCTATTAATATATATGTATATATATATGCACACACATATACACATATATATACACACTCACACACACATACATCTTATATCCAGAATATATTGAGAGTTCTTACAAATCAACAATAAAAAGACAATCCACTTATCCAAAATATATAAAGAGTTCTTACAAATCAATAATAAAAAATCCAATTAAAAGATGCTTCATAAAAGAAGACACATAAATGCTGGATAAGCACATGAAAAGATGTGTAACATCATTAATCATCAGGAAATAGATACGAAAATCTCCAGGAAGTAGTTTTTTGCCCATCGGGTTGACAATACTAAATGTCAGTGTGGATATGCAGAAGCCGGAACTCGCCTATACTGCAGGTGAGGGTACAAAACGGTGCTGCCACTTAGAAAACTGCTTGGCAATCTCTTACATAATTAAACCTCCACCTGTCCTATGGCCCTCCTAGCTATTTATCCAAAGGAAATAGAAACATTTGTACCCCAAAAATACTTGCACAAGAATGTTTATAGCAACTGTATTTATAATAGTCAAAAACTGGAAACTACCCAAAGGTACACTGGCAGGAAAAAGCATAAATAGATTTTATATTTATAAAATGGAATACCCTTCAAAGATAAAATGGATAAACTACACAGATAAAGCTCAAAACAACTTGGTTGGGTGTTGGTTATGTGTGTGTATTTGTCAAAACTCATCAGGTTGTACCCTTAAGATCTGCACATTTCACTTTATGTAAAATTTATTTCATAAAAAGCAATTTCCCCAAAACAATATGATAATAGCACAAAAGGGCTGCCCTCTCCCCTCAGCCACGGCCAAGTGTGATGTTGCACTCAGACCCCACCCGAGCGTCCTGGCTTTGAGTCTCCTTCAGGATGCCCAGGTGTACACTTTGCTCGGAGCTCCGGAGCAGCAGACAGGGTTGCAGGGGTGGGGGGCTGCTGCCCTCCAGTGGTGCATGGCCCTAGCAGGTCCCCCCTCACCACACTACAAGCTCCCCACTGGAACCCTGGAGCCCGCATGCCTCCCAGAGGGCTCGTGCAGGGACCCCCAGGCAGCAGATACGGGCACCCCACGAGTGTGGCCACAGGAGGCTCCGTGAAGGGCAGCAGCCTGCAGCCATCACTCTGCCAGTCTCCCCGAGACACCCCAGTGCGCCCTGCAGTAGAGCTGGCTGGCCGGGCTGGGATCTGCAGACAGGTGGCAGCTCCACCTGGAAGGATAGAAAATGCAGTTGGGATTGCCACTTCTAGGTCTTGCCTGACTTCTGCCCTTTCCCAAACACAGGGCCTTGTGGTGCCTTCAGCTGGTCCCTCCTCCTGGAGTCCCCTCCCACCCATCCCAGCATCACCTGCAGCACTCTCCCGCCAAGGTCAGGCTCAGGCAGGGCCTCCCACCCCCATCCAGGAGGCTTGGCCAGGCCCATCCTCTAGGGAGCTGGGGACCTGGCCTTCCAAGAGCCACCAAGACATGTCTCAGAGGTAGATGGGGGCTGGGCAGTGAGCCGGAGCCTGCCCCCTCCCCTCCTGCCCCAGGGCCAGGGGCAGCAGCATGAAGCCTCCTGGTCTCCCTTCCATTCCCTGGCCAGGATGGAGACGCCCTCAGGGCTGGTGCAGGCCTCCAGCCCCCATGCCTAGTGGCCTGGGAGACAGCCAGCCCCACCAGATGAGGATGTGAGCCACACAGGCAATTTTCTCTAGAAATAAATGGAGAGAAATTGCTCTAACAGGCAAACGGCCTCTGTTTCAAAGCTAATTTCCACATAATAGAACCAAACTACTTCCCTTTCCTCTCCTCTGTCTCTTCTGCATAATTTGACAAATTGCAAAGCTATTTGATTCGGGGGCTCAAACACAAGCACTGACTCCAATAGTCAGGGACAGATGGGGAGAGGGGAGAAGGCAAAGCTCCCCAGAAAGCGCCCGCTGACTCCAGGGCTCTGAGAGGACATTTCTGGGACTGGCAGGTCAGAGTGCAGGGGTGGGGCAGTGGCCAGGGCTGGGCACCTCCGCATTCTGCCACCATCTCCCCAGGCGAGCAGAGGCCCGTCTGGGAAGGGCTGCCGTGGTAGCTGATGCACAATATGTCCCGCGGGGCTTGCCAGCGCGCTCCTGGCTCTGATCTGGTGCCTGGCAGGGCCAGCCCTGCTCCCAGCCAAGACCAAGGCCTGTGCTTGTGCTGCCGGCTTGGCCACGTGCTGAGACCGAGCCAGACCCAGCCAGGAGAAGCAGCTGGTACCTGAGCACCCCAGCCAGGCCACGGTGCCCGTCACCAGCGCCGCACAGCCCGCCCCATCTTCAGCTCCAGCCGCCGAGCTTGACAGCTCTGGCCCTGGAATCCCCACAGGCCCTGTGTGTGTCTCTCCTGCATCTCCTTCCCTGTCCATGTCCTCCCGGGAACTCAGAACCCCCCTCGCCACCCGGGGACCTGCACATCCCTACCACACACGCAGCCCACAGCCGGGCACGTGGTACGGTGCATCCTGTGTGCAGGGGACGCATGAAGAAATGCACGCAGCTGGGGCTGAGGACACGGAGGCCTCCAGGCAGGGGTCCGGGCCAGCCTCCCACCCACACCCCAGGCAGGTGGGCAAGTCACGGAGCACAGGGGACAGAGAGCAGTGGCATTTCCTAAAAGGACTTTCTATTATTTAACCTATTAAAAGATGTCTTTAGGCTGGGCATGGTGGTTCACTCCTGTAATCCCAGCACTTTGGGAGGCTGAGACAGGTGGATCACCTGAGGTCAGGAGTTCGAGACCAGCCTAGCCAACATGGCGAAACAGTGTCTCTACTAAAAATACAAAAATTAGCTGGGCATGGTGATGCGCGCCTGTAATCCCAGGTACTCAGGAGGCTGAGGCAGGAGAATCGTTTGAACCCGGGAGGCAGAGGTTGCAGTAAGCTGAGATCATACCACTGCACTCTAGCCTGGGCGACAGAGCAAGACTCCATCTCAAAAAAAAAAAAAAAAAAGAAAAAGAAAAAAGTATTTAAATGAGGATGTTATTTTTAACAATATTATTTTACAGCTATACAAATACTACACGAAAGCAGGCTTGATATTAAAAAGTGAGAGCCTCCTTCACCTGCACCCCAGTCCCCCATACTGTTCCTTCCCCGAGATTCTCCCCGCAGTGCACCTGTGAGCACCTTCCAGAGCTGTCCAGGTACCTGTAGGCAGGTCTGAGTATGCAGACATGTGGCTCGGGGCAGTCGCAGGAGGAATCCCACTCGCCTGTGATCCCCTGCCCTGCGTTTGTGCTTCTCATGTACTTCCACATAGAGAAACAAGGGTCACACATGGACCCTCAGCAAGACCATGGACAACAAGTGCAAGACCCAGGACAACCCAGCCCAGCAGATCCTGCCCGCCCACCAGCTGCCATGCAGTGCTCAGAGGCTGGAAGTTGAGGGTCACTCGTGCACCACCCCTACCTGCAAAGAGCACCCATCCAGGGGCACAGGGCACAGGAAGCTCCGGCCGAGAGGCGTGCAGATGGGAGATGCCCTGGGGAGTGGTGGGGAAACTCCTGCCACAGGGGGCCTTCAGGGGCCCTCGGAACCACAGAATCCTTTTGGAAGCCAAGGACATCAAGAGAGAAGGATCAAAAGAAACCGAAGCACAGGCTTGCGATGAGCCTGGGTGACATGGTGAGACCCTGTCTCTACAAAAAATACAAACATTAGTCAGACATGGTGGCACACGCCTGTAGTTCCAGCTACTTGGGTAGCTGAAGCTGGAGGATCACCTGAGCGCAGGAGGTCGAGGCTGCAGTGAGCTGTGATTGCACCACTGCACTCCAGCCTGGGCGACAGAGCAGGACCCTGTCTCAAAAAAGAAAAAGCACAGAAGCTGCAACAAGCCAGGCATGTCGGGTGTCCCCAAAGAATACCCCGCCAAGGGAATGGTGAGGTGAGGGAGGCAGCCACAGGCTGCTGAGGCTAAGCCTGACAGTGGGGCCTTAGATGAGAGGCTGGGGTGGTCGGGGCTCCCCCCGTGGTCAGCGCAGAGCCAGGCAGCGATGGGGAAGGAGAGCCGAGACAGGGAGCCTGGTAGGGTGGCTTCGGCATCGCCAGCCCCGCGACGACAAGGAGCCATGGGAGGGGACAATGCAGAGCCGTCCTGTGGGGGACGCAGACGTTGTGGAGGCTGGCACATGCTCGGAGCACACGCTGGTTGAAATAGCAGCCGAGAGACATAATTAAGAAGGTGAATCTGCTGCCAAAACATGCACCGTGCTTCAAAGTCAACAACGTGTGGTTTGGGGGACAGCCTGTTTCTGGGATAAGTTGGCCCCTGCAGGGCAGCTCACAGGGAGTGAGCATGGTGGGGACGCCTTCAGTCACTCTCTGGCATGGGCACCCCACACCCCGCCAGGGCAGGGAGGGAGGGGCAGCCGAGGGAAGCATGCGCCCAGCGCCACATCCTCCAAACCCTGGCTGCAGACACACGGGACAGGCTGAGCAGGAGCTATCGGGCTGGGCTACACCACGCACACCCAAGCACAAGCACTCCTCGGGCTCAAGAAAGGAGTGGAGGGTCGGAACGTTCTAGAAGGCCTCCCAAGGGAGAGGGGCTTGTGCAGATGGGGCACTCCAGGCCAGGAGCCCAGCCTATACAAAGGTGCGGAGGTGTCCTGTGCTGGGGAGTGGGACCAGGCCAGGCCGGGTGGCTGGGCCCGGGGATACAGAAGATCTGGGTCAGTCGGGGATCAAGGGGGCCAATGTTCAGGAGAAGGTGTTGATGGTGCAGCCCAGCTGCCCCTAGCTAAGCTGTTCCCTCAGGAGTTCACCAGAAGCCCATCGCGTCAGCAGCAGCCCCCTCGGGTTTGTTCAGCAGCATCCATGCAACCACATCAGCTCAGAGCGGGGATTTCAGACCCAAAGGGCCACCACCAGGGGGGATTTGTCCTGGGATCAGGGACCACCGCTCCTCAGCCTGGACCTTTCACATCGAGTGCCCAGAGAAGCAGGGGCTGGTGGGCACCTGAGGGTTCCCTGAGAGTCCTGCCCTCCAGTGGCTTAGAGATCAACCCCTGGCCCAAAGGTCCTGCTTGACAGGTGCCCCAGATTCTGTGAGTTACTTAAGATCAAGTAACAAAAAGATCACCCTCATGGCAGATGAGAGGTTAATTCAGTCACATCGTTACTGGTGACAGTCCCACAAATGATTTATTGATTTTTTTTTAAATAAAAATATGTCACATCCTCTGGTATGGGTATAGACCAATTCTGTGCTTGGGCCAACTGGATAAGAAGTTACTAGTTTGTACCAGATGCCAACTTGCTATTCCATGCCAAGCAGAAACAGCACTACCCATGATACAGCACTGCTACCTGGCACTTCCTCACGCACCACACACACACGCCCCTCCAGGAGTCCGCACAGCCTGCAGTGAGCACCTCCTCCGTGCCAGGCGCCCTGGCAGGGTTGCTGTGTACTGTGGGGGTTGCCAAGACCAATCAGACTTGGCACTGCCCTTGAGGAGCTCAGGCTGCAGAGGCGAG
The DNA here is from genome assembly GCF_000001405.40 of Homo sapiens. Taxonomy (NCBI): domain Eukaryota; kingdom Metazoa; phylum Chordata; class Mammalia; order Primates; family Hominidae; genus Homo; species Homo sapiens. The sequence goes on from NT_187599.1 coordinate 72,233, forward strand.
AATGGGAGGATAACTCAGCCCCATGTGCCGTCCTTGAATGGGTCTAATGGGGCCCACGGTCATTGCATGTGGCTGACGTGGCGTGACTAGGAGGCTGAGGAGGGTGTCCCCATGGAAGTGACGTTCCAACATGGACTGGAAGGATAAGTACAGCCCAGTCATGGGAAACAGACAGAGATGCTCAGCCTGGGCAGTGAGAAGGCAGGTGGGAAACTGAGGCAGGACAGAGTGTGGTGAGGTGGAAGATGGCAAGCAGGGCGTGGAGCCAAAAAGGATGAGGGTGGGGTGGTGCAGAGGAGTCCCCGGGGCCCCAGGGCTGGGCCACAAAGAGGCCTGTAGATCTTGCTAAGCCCCTGGAAGGTTCTGAGCAGAAGAGACTTCACCAAATGAATGCTTTAAGAATCTCCTTCTGGCCCGATGTCCATCGCGGATGAATGGATGAGCAAATCGTGGTCTAGCCACACAACAGAATATGTATTATTCAGCCATAAAATGAAATAAAATACTGATTCCTGCTACATGGCTGGAGCTTGAAAACTTTCTGCTGCAAGAAGCTGGACACAAAAGTTCACGTGTTGTATGACTCCTTTTACATGAAATATGCAGAATAGACAACAAATCCGTAAACAGGAAGATGAGGGGTTGCCGGGGGCTTGGGAGAGGGGCAATGGGGAGCGACTGTGTCATGAACACAGGACTTCTTTTTGGGGTGGTGATCATGCTTCGGAGCTCGGTGGTGGTGCTGGCTGCACAGCACTGTGAATATACCAAATGCCACTGAATTATACCCTTTAAAATGATGAGTTCACCTCATTGAGAAGGAGGAGAAGGACAGCAGCTGCTCCCTCTGACAGCCGTGCAGAGACAAGGCTGCCGGCAGCTGGGTAGGAACTGGGAAGAACGGACCGAGACCCCTGCACTGGGCCAGCCCAGAGGGGACGATGGCCCCAGCCAGTGTGACAGCCATTGCGGGGAAGGGCAGAGAGAAGTGGGTGGGTTTGATGTACTTTTAGGAGAAGAGAACACGAGGAATTCACAATTGCCCAGATATGGGGAGGAAGGAGGAGGATATGAGATGCATCTGGCCCAGCACCCGCCCTCAGGATGCTCATACGTCCCTAAATGACAAGAGGTGGGCAATGGCGATGGACTGCACTCCAGTCGTGCTGGAGTGAGGCCCTCAGGAGGCTCCTGACTCAGCTGGGCATCCAGGAAGGCTTCCTGGAGGAAGCATTGCATGGAGACAGACCCAGGGCTTGGGGAACACGAGCTGCCTCATGAACTGCGTTGTGAGGGAGTGGGAGACTCCCACCTGGGGACATCTGCATGTCCTGTCACTCATTCATTCATTCGCTCTACACATCCACACTGAATGCCCACTATGTGCCAGGTGTCCTTCCAGGCACTGGGGAGAGGGTCGTTTTGCGAAATGCCTGCCAACATTTGAACGCACTCTGAAAACCAGTGGTTACCCGGATAGCTCGGAATAGTAGCTGGACTTGAGTTTGGTGTCATGGAACCCAAGGTCAGAGGCCGCTGTTGTTGTTATTACTATCATCGGCACTTACACAGCATGTTCGGGGGCCAGGCACTGTTCTAAGGCCCTGGCAGAAGTCAGCTTGTTTGCATCTGGCCTGTTCCCAGATATGAGGCCTTTCATAGACATGAGGGTCTTGACTCTCGGGCTCCAGGCCTTTCCCACCCATGAGTGGACCTCAGTTTCCCTCTCTGAAAAACAAGCAGGGTAAGTGTAATGGCCTCCAGGGACCCCCGGCTCTTCAGTTTCAAAACGTGGTAGAAAGACCCTGGCTGAGTCCAGGGAGCTGCACACAGCAGCTCTCCCAGGCTGGAGGGGCTCCGCCGTGGACATAGAAGGGCTGGGGTGGAGAGTCTTGTTCTCCCAGAAGGCTGGGCTGAGAGGGAGCCATCCTGGTGGAGGCAGGGGTGCATGCTACCTGGCTCAGCATGTCCTGGAGCAGGGCCAAGGCATGGACTACGGTGATGCTTGGAGGGCCCAGTGCTGGTCCCGCACTCCACCCTGCCCAGCACAAAGGCCTCACAGAGGCAAGATCCTGCAGCAAGGAAGCCGAGGAAAGTGATTCCTGCCGGGAAGGAGATAGCCCAGCACCTGGCCCCTCTCAGCAGCACCCATGGTTATCGCTGAACAGAGAAGCAAGAGGGTCTGGGGAATGAGAGCGGATGGCCAGAGGGCCTTCCCGTCTGAGGCCAGGGAAGTTGAACAGAACAGGTCAGTCACGTCCCAAGCAGATCTGCTGGGCTCGAAGTCCGCTGGAGCAGGGTAGGCAGGAGGCTGAGGGGGAGGCAGGGCTGGCAGAGATGCTGGTCTTTGTGGAGACAGCATGTCAGATCTCCAGAGTCCCTTTCTTCTGACCCTCCTTCCCACCTAATCCACGGCCTCAGGGCCTCCCAGTTTCCTGTCCCCTCTCTAACTCTCCAGGCAAGACCTTCTACTATGCCCCCCACCCCAGAAAGTTTCCATGACATCCAAAAGATCTCTTATTTATTGAAGCCCTAGGGCGAATGTTGTTGAAATCAAATAGTGCAGTGTTTCCTGTCTCACAGCCCAACAGTGCTCTAACAGGCAACCTGTCTGCCAGGAGCTCGCCACGGAGTTCCACAGCCCGGCACCTCCCCAGGGGGCATTTCCCAGCACGTCATCTGCAGGGGTGGCTTCCCTGCAGCCCTTCCCACCCCTTCCCACCCACTTCGGCAGCATGGCATCCCAGCAAACCTCTCCCCCACCCTATGGGCCACACACACACTCTCTCCGCTGGAGTTGGGATCACAGCCCGGGATGGGATTTGACCTCTCCAAATTTGCTTCTATTTGGGGAACTCTGTCTCCACCTAGAAGTAGCTGCTGCCTGTATCTGCTGTTCCTGTGCTTTTGGCATTCTCATGCCACTCAACAGGAAACGCCCTCTTATAGTTAAGAATTCTTTATATTAAACTTTCACTGTTCAAATTGCTGCATGACGCCTGTCTCCTGATTGGACCTTGACTGATAGAGAGTCAGTACCAGGAGCCATCCTGAGGGACACCCCATGAGGCTGGGATTGGATTGGTTTGTCTGTATTTGTGACGCAAGTGCAGTGCTGAGTTTATTGCCAATAAGAAATCAGATGCTGACGACCCACAGCCCAACCCCAAGCCCGATCCCCAGCCCACCTTCACATCATAATCAATCAAGCCGACACCTGTGGTGGTTTCATGAAACGCCAGCTGAAGCGTGTGCCTCGGGGTTCCATGAGGCTGCTGCTCTGACGTGTACAGTGGCAAGTGTGATGACAAGGACCACAGTGTGGGACAGTGTTCCTGATGCACTGGGGCCCCTCCAAAAGATGATGCTCAGCTAGGGGGCCCCTCCCCATGCAGACTATGCTCTGAAAAATAAAGTATTCATAGTTGCTCCAAAAGAATCCCTCATTCCTGCAGCCACAGGGAGAATACTGCTGAAAATCAACATGGAGCACCTTGTAGTGCCAAAAAGTAAGGAAATGCCCACATCACACACACAAACACATACAAACACGCACACAAACACACACGAACACACACACACAAGCATGCACACACAAACACAAACACACACGAACACACACGCACACACACACAAACACCCATGCGCACACAAACACACACGTGCACACACACACGCACACACAAACATGCACAAACACACACAAAAAACACATGCACCCACAGACACACAAACACACACATGCACGTGCGCGCACACACACACGATGGGGCGTGTCAAAGGGACACCAAGGCCAACCTAAAGTACTCCCCACCAGGTGCGATGCTTCACGCCTGTAATCCCAGCACTGTGGGAGGCCAAGGTGGGCAGATCACCTGAGGTCGGGAGTTCGAGACCAGCCTCACCAACATGGAGAAACTCTGTCTCTACTAAAAAAATACAAAAATTACCCAGACGTGGTGGCGCATGCCTGTAATCCCAGCTACTCGGGAGGATGAGGCAGGAGAATCGCTTGAACCCAGGAGGCGAAGGTTGCAGTGAGCCAACATCGCACCATTGCACTCCAGCCTGGGGTACAGAGTGAGACTCTGTCAAAAAAAAAAAAAAAACAAAAAAAACTCCCAACAGCCAAAGCTGGAACAATTTGAGCAAGAAAATATAGCATTAGATTTTAACCCAAACTATAAAATAAATATCCATAAATGCATATTGATAGAAACAAATGATTAAATAAATGAATAAATAAATAAGTGAAGGAAAAGAGGCAAAGCCCCCATGCTGAAGAACTCCACACCACTTCCGTAGCTGCTCCACACCCCTTACATGCGGGCTGTGCAGACACTTCCCTCCAAAGAGGACGAACTCTACATCACTTCTGTAGCTGCCCCACACCCCTTACGTGCGGGCTGTGCAGTCACTGCCCTCCAATGGCAGTGCAGTCACTGCCTTTGCTATGAGAAAGAGCAAAAGAATGATCAGTGTGCTGAGGAGGCGTGAGCAAGGAAGCCTGACATGCTATCCCACCAGGTGATAGAGGCCCCAGCCAGCCACGAGCCACATCAACTGTGTGCGCCCGTGGATGGCATGAGCATGGCACTTCACCACTGCGGTCTTCCTCCCCCAAACCTATGACTCCAGTCTCATCACGAGAAAAACAGACACATCCTGGTTGAGGGGCAGCCTAATGCCTGAGCAGTGCTCTTCAAAACTTCAAGCTCGTCAAAAGCAAGGGAAGTCTGGGAGCTGTCACAGCCAGGAGGAGCCTAAGGAGACGTGATGATGAAAGGTCACGTGGGATTCTGGACGGGCCCCTGGGGCAGAAAATAGACATTAGAGAAAAACCAGGAAAGAGGAAAGTGTGAATGAAATGTGGGCTCTAGTGAAAAATGTGTCGGTATTGGTTCATTACCTGGAACAAGCGCACCCCACTAAGGGGAGACGTCAACATGGGGGAATGGGACGTGGGTGTGGGAAGCAGGTTCACTCAACGCCAGTCCAAAGGGAGTGATGCAGGGCAGGTGAGCCCCAAAGTGGGGCTCAGCCCGTGAGAGTACTTGGCTTCACCCAAGAGAGAATTCAAAGGCGAGCTGGAGATGGAAGAAACAGCTCTATTGAAGCAGCCATGTCACAGCTCTGTGACTCCTTCTGCAGGGCAGGGCTACCCCATAGGCAGAGAGTAGCCGTGCAGGGTGGCTCTGCAGTCGTATTCATGCCCACGTTTAATTCCATGCAGGCTAAGGGGCGGTTTATGCAGAAATTTCTGCATCAACTTCTGGGTCGCTGGGTCATTGCCATGGAAAAGAGTGGTAACCCCGGGGTTTTGCCACGGCAATGGTAAACGGACATGGCACACTGCTGGGTGTGTCTTATGGAAGGCTGCTTTACCTCACCCCTGTTTTAGCTAGTCCTCGATTTGGTCCAGTGTCTGAGCCCCACCTCCAGAGTTGAGTCCCAACTCCCACCTGTGGAGGACAGCAGAGATCCTCACTCTGCCAAGCCCAGAACATGAGTCCAGACACTTCCCCCACGGCACTCTGCCTTTGCATTGGCTTGTGCCCCTGTGCCTAAGACTCTCCCCACTAGGCTTGAACACCCTGCAAGAACCGAACCCGGGCCAGATTAGGTTAGATTCAGGATGCCCTCTCTCCTCAAGACGCCCCATAACTAGCACCTGCCACTGGTTAAGTGGGGTCAGATCTCCAATGCTCCAGGGAGAAAGACACACACTAAGACCCAGGAGGGATTGATTTACACATAAAAAGAATCGCAGTAATTTGCTAATATAAATCTGCAGTAACATGGGGAACGTGTTTGAGAGTGGATTAAATGGGCGTTAGACCAAGGAGGGGAGGGGAAATATAACCTTAGATTAGGCCAAATTCCTTGACACAGGTGCACTTTCCAGAGAGCTTGGATTTCATGTGTTAACGCGTGCATCTGGAGGTGGCTCAGACAGCTTACTTGGTGGCTCGACTGAAGCTTGAACTTTGTCGTGGCCTACAGTTCATGTAGGAGGTGTGATGTGGAGGAAAGAGCCCAAAAGCTTAGGGAGAAAGGACTATTGGGCTGGATTTATGTGCAACCTCACAGCCACCTCCCAGCTGTGGTCCCTGAGGGGCCACAGGACACTCTCTTGACTAAGGTGTGAAGCAATGCTTTCACCTTGGCTGTAGGCTCCCTGCAAGCTCTCTGGTTGTAGACCAGGTGTGACTGTGGAAGATGTCACCATGAGAAATTCCTCCCTTCAGTGGGGACGATGGTATCCTGAAGTAGCAGAGGCTAACACAGCACCTAGACATCAGAGACCAGGCAGCCCACCGACAGCGAGGGAAAGCAGGGACACACATAACCATGGCACCTTGATCACCAAGGTCTTTGGTGGCAGCTAATTAATCACAGGGTCTCAAGGACAAAAGTGGTGGGCAGCCTACTAGGGTATTCTTTGGTCTAAATAACAGGAGAACCCCAGGTGTGCCAGCCAAACCCCCGACCTGAGTCACCGCAGTGGCCAGTCGCAGCCTCTCACCCATTTGCACACCCAACTCAATGCACAATCCAATGACCTGTGATTTGCAGCCCATGCTGGAAATACTCCTCCACGCCTTTCCCAAAGGGATGTACGACCATTCATGGGAGTAACTGTGAGCTGGAGAATGGAACTTTGCAGGGCTCTGAATTGATGCTAATCCTTGGGAACCCAAAACACGAGCACAGCCCATCAGTCACATGGGAACATACAGTGGTCAGGTCATGGATGGAACCCCCATTAGCTCACCTCTCACAGGGTAGGCTGTCCACGGACCCACAGTCTGGTTGTATCCCCAGTTCCTGAATGTATAATTGGAATAGACATACTGCCAACTAGCGGGATCCCCAGCATGGTTCCCTGAGCCCTGGAGTGAGGGCATTTGTGGTAGAGGAACTAGATGGAAAACGCTGGGACTTCCTTTCCTATCCATAAGAGAACCAGAATCAATATCACATTCCCGGGGAAACTGCAGAGATTAACGCCATCATCAAGGCTTGAAAGAAACAGAAGTGATCATTGCACACACACACACACACACATTTAATTCGGCTGTCAAGCCTGTGTAAAAGTTGGGTGAACCTTGGAGAATGACCGTGCACTGATGTAAACTGAAGCAGGTGGTGAATCCAGGTGCACCTGTTGTCCCACATGTATTATCTTTACTGTAGAAAATGGCATGGCCCCTAGCCCTTGTTATTCAGCTCTTGACCTCACCAATGTCTTCTCTGTACCAGTTTGGAAAGATCACCAGAGCAGTTTGGTTTTCTCACCTGGCCGGGCCAACAGTGCCCTTTCACAGTCTTGCTTCTGGGTCATGCCAGTTCTCCCACCTGCAGTGATAAGAAGCAGAGATTTTCCCACCTACAAAGCATCACGCTGGTCCTCTACACTCATGACATTACACTGAGCTGACTGTGTCTGATGAGCAGGAAGTGAAAATAACTTTAAATGCCTTAGTAAGACACACACTAACTAGAAGGTAGGAAATAAACCCCACAAAACATCAGAGGCCTGCCCATCAGTGAAGTCTCCAGGGCCCAGAGGTGTGGCGTATGTCAAGCTCCTTCCTCCAGGATGAATACAAGATGCTGCACCTCACGCCATCTTTGTGAGTGTGCTCCATGGTCATGGTCTTCTGGGTTCTGTGGACCACACTGAGGGGCCAATTGTGCGGATATTGGCTGCTGTTTTGAAGATCGTCTGCCTCTTCCAGCTACTTTCAGGATTTTTCCATCTTCTGTTTTCCACATTTTAATAGACAGTTTTGTTGGTTCACTCTGTCACTCTTACCTGGGTCTATAGAGTCCCTGGGGGCTGCAGCCTGGCCACTGTGGCAGCGGCATAGAATTGGAACCCACTGTCTGTCGCTCCCAGGACTGCCCATTCATCAGTGTGGGCAGAGTGGGAGCCATCTAAGGAGGTTGTGCAGGGAGAGTCAGAAGTGAAAGCATCTCAGGGAAGGTTTCCCGAGCTGGGTCAGCACCACGCCTTGCCAGGATGCTGGGGCCACACAAAACTGAGCATCTGCTCAGCCTCAGAGGTGGACAGGGGCCTTCTGCTTCATCTCCTTAGAGCAGTTCAGGCCTCTCCCCATCAGCTCTACAAGGTCCCAGGCCACAGGCCTGGCTTCCTTATCCTCTCCCTGGCTGCAGATGCAGGCCCCCTCAGGGTACCTTCCCAGCAGCCATCCTGGTCCTGGAGATCAGGCTTGGAGCCTGGTTTCCTGACCTCCCATGGCCCTTTTCCCCTGTGGCCTCCAGGCCCCTTCCTCTCTTAGGATGGGAGCCCTGCTGCCACAAGTATGGCTCAGTGATAACATCCTGCCAAGGCCTCTGGGGTAAAGTCACAGGCCTGCAGTGTGCTGGCCTCCCTCACAGGCCTGCGCTCCCCCAAGGACTCGAGCGGGAACCCCTCCTGCTTCCTCCAGCTTCTGGGGGCTCCAGCATTCCTGGGCTTGTGGAGGCCTCCCTCCAACTCCGTCTCTGTCTCAATGTGGGCTTCTTCTGCCTCTGTGTGCCTCCTCCATGTTCTCTTACAAGGACATTTGCCATTGGATTTGGGGCCTGCCGGGTCAGCCAGGATGTTCTCATCCCAAGCACAGGAAGCCAGGAGGACAGTCCTGCTCAGAGCCCTGAGGCCCAGCTTGGGGACGGCAGCAGCCTCCACTAGAGGATGGGGTCTGTGGCTGTGGGTGGTGTGGGGACCCCCGGCCCTCAGTGCTGCTGCCTTCCAACCAGTCTCCTCCCACGCAGACCCGCACCATCTCACCCCCACTGCATGGGCCTTCCCTGAACATCAGCCATCCTGGGACCTGGGGCTCTTCTTCCAGGATAACAGCAACATCCGGATTGTGGCCATGGAGCTGGGGCAGACACAAAGGTCACTGGAGAGGCCATCACTGGACAAGAGACCCAGAGCCCTCTGAGGCCCAGCACTCATCCACCTGATGAGCTCTGAGCCCGGTTTGTTCAGCTGGCTGCCCTCAGACAGGAGGCGTCGTGGCCTCCATCCCACCCGGCCACGCACAGATTCCACGGCCACCTCTCTCACCAACACCACTGCACCCGTCTGACAAATCCCAACATAAACCCCCAGCTGTATTAGGCCATTCTTCCATTGCTATGAAGAAATACCTGAGACTGGGCAATTTATAAAGAAAAATGGTATAATTGGTTCAGGGTTCTGCAGGAAGCGTGGCACCCACATCTGCTCGGCTCCTAGGGAGGCCTCAGAAGCTTTCAGTCACAGTGGAAGGTGAAGGGGGAACAGGCATGCCACAGGGAGAAAGCAGGAGCAGGCGGGGCGGAGAGGTGTCCCACACATTTAAACCACCCAGTCTCACAAGAGCTCACTCACTATTGCGAGGACAGCACCAATCCATGAGGATCCACCCCCAGGACCCAGACACCTCCCACCGGGTCCCACCTCCAGCACTAGGAATCACAATTCAACATGAGATCTGGCAGCGACATGCATTCAAACTAGATCCCCTGCTGCCTGATTCTCTGTGTCTCCACCTAGCTGCTAAACACTGTTTGAAAAGTCCCACACAAGCCATGGATCAGGCCTCCTCCAGGGTGTGGCCTCCTGAGCAGCCATGCAATTGGCACTTCATTTATTATTATTATTATTTCTTTTTGAGACAGAGTTTCATTCTTGTCACCCAGGCTGGAGTGCAATGGTGCGGTATTGGCTCACTGCAACCTCTGCCTCCCAGTTTCAAATTATTTTCCTGCCTCGGCCTCCTGAGTATCTGGGATTACAGGGGTGTGCCACCACACCCAGCTAATTTTTTTGTGTTTTTAGTAGAGACAGGGTTTCACCATGTTGGCCAGGCTGGTCTTGAACTCCTGACCTCAGGTGATTTGCCCACCTCAGCCTCCAAAAGTGCTGGGATTACAGGCATGAGCCACCGTGCCCAGCCTAATTTTGTCTTTTTAGTAGAGACGAGGTTGGCCAGGCTAGTCTTGAACTCCTGACCTCAGGTGATCTGCCTGCCTTGGCCTCCCAAAGTGCTGGAATTACAGGCGTGAGCCACTGTGCCCAGCCCTCATTTATTATTTATTGATTTAGAGACTGGGTCTTTCTCTATTGCCCCGTCTGGAGTACAATACCACAGTCATAGCTCACCGCAGCCTTGACTTCCCCACCTCAAGCGATCCTCCCACCTCATCCTCCCTAGTAGCTGGAAATACAGGAGTGTGCAACCATGCAGGGTTCATTTTTTAAAGGGTGGGGCTTACTCTTTTGAAATGTACTAAGTGACAGCTGAGGAGATGTTCCAGACCCAGGAAACAAAAGAAACCTCAGACCCTGCTCTACACCACTAAATGGCAAAAGCAAGAAGATTGACGACACCAAGTGTTGGTGAGGATGTGGGGCATCTGAGATTCCCGGGCCCTGAGGGTGGAGGGACATGGTCCCATCCAGATGCTGACATCAGGAGCCAGCCCCGCAGGGCCTCATGAGGTGGCGTACCCACCCCACAACCCAGGCACTCCTCTCCAGGGTGCCCGCCCAAGAGAAACGAAACCTGTCCACACACAGATCGGTGATAAACACCATGCAGCCTTATTCCTTGAGCCAAAAGGGAAAAGACCCAAACGTCCATCCACAGGTGAATAAACGTCCTGTCCATCCACACCATGAATGGTCCATTGGCAAGGAAAAGCAATGAAGGCTGGTAAAAAGATACACATGCCTCTCAAAATCAGCGTGCTGAGTGAAAGAAGACAGATGTAAGGGGATTGGTTTGGCTGTGTCCCCACCCAAATCTCATGTTGAATTTCCCACATGTTGTGGGAGGGACCTGGTGGCAGATAATTGAATCATGGGGGCGGTTTCCCCGTTACTGGTCTCATGAGATCTGGTGGTTTTACAAGGGGAAACCCCTTTCACTCGGTTCTTAATTCTCTCTTGTCTGATGCCACGTAAGACGTGCCTGTCTCCTTCGGCCATAGTTGTGAGGCCTCCTCAGCCACATGGAACTGTGAGTCCATTAAACCTCTTTTTCTTTATAAATTACCCAGTCTCAGGTATGTCTTTATCAGCAGAGTGTGAACAGACAAATACATAAAGGGACACTTACTCTACAACTCCCTGTACAAGAAGCTCTAGAGCAAAATGACTCTATCATGAAAGACATGAGAACAGCAGCTGCCCCTGGGTGGGAAGGACTGAACAGGAAGGGCCTGGAAGAACCTGGGGTGTGGAGTGTGCTACATCTTCATGGAGGTGGGGGCTGTGCTCAGATACGCATGCCTCAAAACTCCTCAAACTCTACACTTAATATCTGCACATTTCACTTCAATTTTTAAAAATAGATGCTACACCAAGAGGACATTTTCCTCCATCAGAGTGGCAAGAACCCAAAAGCTTGATAGCACCCTGCCTGGCCAGGCCGGGGAGAGACAGCCCTCCCTGGCATGAGCACACACAGGTGCAGCCCCTCTGGAGGGCAATGTGCACACTTCCATCAAAATTACAAATGCATGTTCTCTTTCACCCAGCGACTCCACTTTTGAAAACGTTGCAGTCTATAAACACTCTCGTTCACGTGCCCAGAGAGCGGCACATGTAGAGGCCTACTCCTCACAGCACAGTGTCTAGAGGCAAACTCTACAGCAGTCTATAAATACTCTCGTACACGTGCCCAGCGAGCGGCACGTGTAGAGGCCTACTCCTCACAGCACAGTGTCTAGAGGCAAACTCTACAGCAGTCTATAAACACTCTCGTTCACGTGCCCAGAGAGCGGCACATGTAGAGGCCTACTCCTCACAGCACAGTGTCTAGAGGCAAACTCTACAGCAGTCTATAAACACTCTCGTTCACGTGCCCAGAGAGCGGCACATGTAGAGGCCTACTCCTCACAGCACAGTGTCTAGTGGCAAACTCTACAGCAGTCTATAAACACTCTCGTTCACGTGCCCAGCGAGCGGCACATGTAGAGGCCTACTCCTCACAGCACAGTGTCTAGAGGCAAACTTCACAGCACCTGCAAAGGAACAGGTGTACTATGCTACCTATGCTACCTTTTGCATAAACATGGAAACATGAATAGATTCAGATTTGCTTGTAATTTCCTAAAGAAACTCTAGAAGACATTTGAGACGTTGATAATAGTGATTATCAGCTGATGACATAGGGGCTGTTGTCTAGAAGCATCTATAAGCCACAATTAACGGCCTGCACTAAAGGCTGAAGGGGTGTGTGTCCACCAGGAAAGGAAAACAGATATTGTGAGAGAGCCCTTGAGAAAATAAACCAGAGTGGAGGCGTGGCCTGCAATGGCCACACACACAATTCACACACACTCACACACAGTCACACACTTTCAGACACACGTACACCCACACACATTCACACTCTCTCACACATACACACAGACACACATTCACACACAGACACTCATATACACACACTCACATTCACACATACTTTCTCACACACACCCACACACATGCACACACACTTTCACACACATACACACATTCACACACTTACACACGTACACACAACACACATTCACACTTTCACACATACATCCACACACTTTCACACACATACACCACACACTCATTCAGACACACACTCATACACATTCAGACACACAGACACACACATACACACCCACACACATACACATTTAGACACACATTCACACATACACCCACACACATTCACAGTCATACACACATATTCACACACATACACCCACACACATTCACAGTCATGCACACATTTACACACACATTCACACACATACACACCCACACACTTTCACAGACATACACCCACATTTTCACACTTTCACACACATACACCCACACACATTCACACTCATACACCCATTCACGTTCACACTCATACACACATTCAGACACACATTCAGACACACATTCAGACACACACATACACACCCACACACATGCATTCAGACACACACCCACACACATTCACACTTATACACACACGTTCACACACATACACCCACATTCACACACACTTTCACAGACATACAGCCACATTCACACTTTCACAGACATACACTCACATTTTCACACACACTTTCACATACATCCACACACATTCACACTCTCACATACATATATGCACTCATGCACCACACTCACACATTCACAAACACATTCACACACACTTTCTCACACACACACATTCAGACACACATTCACACACACGTTCTCTCACACATACATTCAGACACATGCTCACATATGCACCCACACACTTTTGCACACACTTTCATGCACACATCCCACACACTCCCACACATACGCACTCATGCACACACACACACATACACTCACACACATACACTCTCTCCCACACCCCCAGCAGATAGCCCTCCCCTGTTAAAGACAAGTTACTATTAGGAAGTGACTTCACACCTATGCATAAATACTTCAAAAATTAAAATGAAGGAATTATACATAAAAGACAAATGAAAAACATTCACCCCTGGGAGAACGACCCAAGGAAACACAGGCAAAGTTCAGACAAAAAGGTTTCTTCTGCTTCAAGACAACCTCATCTCCTAAAAGGGAGAAGCGCTCAAAAAGGAGATGTGTGGTTTCAAAGAAGAGATGATAAGATAACAGAAGGTGTGAGCCACTGGAGCCCAGAAAAGAGATGGAAGAGAGAAGTTGATTGGAGACCATAACCACATCTGAACAAAGAGAAAAATAAACATGGCTGAAAATGCCTTTAAAAGGATAAAGTGTTGAGCTTGAGGAAGTCACACACAATAAAGTGAAAGTTTCTACAATGTAAAAATAAGACGGTAAGTACAGAATTCAAACAAAGAAGATATAACACATGCACAATTGATGTTCCTGAAGAAGAAAACAAAACACATAAGCCTGAAAAAAAAAAAATAGACTCTGGGCTATCACAAAATACATGTTCCTTAAGCCTGGATCTGCAGCTCTGCAGAGCACACATTCTGGGGGCAGGAGTGGGGCCAGCAAAACAGCACGATGTATGCTGCTGCCATTGTTAAACTTCAGGGGGTTGGAAATAATCAGACGGAGCATCACTTAAATATCAGAACACAGTAGCTACAGAGTTCTGATGGAAAAAATGTTTGACTTGAGGATTTTATATCCGATAATCCTGACTTGACGTATAAAGGAAACAGACTCTTAGGTAGGCAAGAACTTGAAGAATACACAGCGCCCACAGGAGGAGAAAGCGGGGATCTCCCGGGCCTGTGGCAGCCCGAGATTCCCATTGTCCCAGTGAGACAGGAGGTGGGGCTTGACTCCAGAGGAAGGGCTCAGACACTGGACCAGATTGAGGACTAGCTAAAACAGTGCTGGGGTGAAAGCAGCTTTCAATCAGACCTGCCCACCAGTGTGCCATGTCAATTTACTGTTGTCATGGCAACGCCCAGGAGTTACTGCCTCTTTCCATGGTACCCAATGATCCAAAAGTTACTGCCCCTTCCCTGCATACTCCTTAATCTGCATGCAATTAAAAGTGGGAACCCAAGTGCGGTAGCTCACACCTGTAATCCCAGCACCTTGGAAGGCCAAGACCGGTGGATCACCTGAGGTCACGAGTTCGAGACCAGCCTGGCTAACATGGAAAAACCTCATCTCTACTAAAAATACAAAAATTAGCCAGGTGCAGTGGCACATGCCTGTAATCCCAGCTACTTGGGAGGCTGAGGCAGGAGAATCGCTTGAACCTGGGAGGCGGAGGTTGCAGTAAGCTGAGATCACACCACTGCACTGCAGCCTGGGTGACAGAGTGAGACTCTGTCTCAAGAAAAAAAAAAGTGGGTATAAATATGAGCAGAACAGCCCTGAGCTTCCCCTCTTTGCCTATGGGGTAGCCCGGCCCAGCAGGTGCAGTCTTGGAGCTATAACACCACTGAAGCTGTGACACTGCAGCTTCGATAAAGCTGTTTTCTTCTGCCTCTGGCTTGCCCTTGAATTCTTTCCTGGGCAAAGCCAAGAACCCTCTCAGGCTGAGCCCCACTTTGCGGCTTGCCTGTCCTGCATCACCAGCATAGTTGTCCATAGCAAACTCTTGCTCTAAAAAGTGCTCAAGTTTGAGAGGGAAAGGGTGCTACAAAGGCTACAAATGACATTAGTAGAGGCTGGATGTGGTGGTGCGCACCTGTGGTCCCAGCTACTCAGGAGGCTGAGGTGGGAGGATCGCTTGAGCCTGGTTGGTTGAGGCTGCAGTGAGCCATGATTGCACAACTAGACTTCAGCCTGGTAACAGAGCTAGACCTCATCTTTTAATTCATTAATTACAGGATATTATTAGAACATCTGACAACATTGGAATACAGATGGCATATCATGTAAAAATACTTCTTATTAATACTAATGGAGATGTATGAGGTTGATGACTGTGTTGAGGTTATGTAAGAGAATACTCCTGTTCTTACAACACAAATGATACAGCAAATGGGATAGAATAATAGGTAAATCTGAGCAATGGGTATATGGCTATTCCTTGCACTCTTTTTGCTTTTGTGACTTTGTCTAAGTTTGAAATCATTTCCAGATAAAAAGTCTAAAAAGTAGAAGTCAAGTGCTCCAGGTAGGATGATAAATTACACGGTGAGCCAGCACAGGGGCCTCTCCAGCAACCTCAGATGACAAAATCCAGGTGACAAACGCTGATGAAGACAAAACTCAAGGGGGTAGGAACCACAGCAAAGGCTGGGGACAAGCTCTGGAATCATCTGAATGTTAAACCGGGTGACAGTGACAATGGAAACCACGGTGTGAGGAACAGAAGTTAAATGTTACAAACTTTGATCACGTCCAAAAAATAATAACGTTAGAAAGCATGGAGGGGTTGGGAGTAAAAATGTAACTTGGAACCCGGAACATCTGGTTTACCAACGTGGAGTTCCCTTCGTTCGCAAGCTCTTTCACGGTAGCTTTTAGCAGGTCTTCCAGTGCTTGAGTCTCTGTGAGGTGAAACCTTTATTTCAAGTGTTTCCTTCGGCTTCACCTTGGTTTGTTCTTGTGAAACTCAAACACAGGAGATGCTCTTTCTGATAAACGATGCCCGTGACTAACATTATTTCTACTCCTGTCCCTCTTTCCAGTTCTACTGGACCCTTGGAGGAAAGTTGTCCTTTGTGAGATTGAACAAAGTTGGTTATCTGGAAGGAGAGTTTGGAGCATGCTTTTGACTTCCTCTTGGTCTCCTATGTTACTCAGTTTTTAAATATGAGGCCGGACCTTTCTTACAAAACAAAACCATGATTCTTCTTTTTAAAGGGGAGGAAGGGGCTTAGCACCCCATGCCGCCTGCCTGAGATGTGGGGGCCATGATGCTGCTGAACGTCCCTCGGTCTCCAGGGCTTTCCCACACAACCGTGGAGGAGATCCCTGCCGTGTGGTCACCTGGGTTGCTGCCCCGATGTGGAGCGGTCCAACCCTGCCCGGGCCTAATCAGCAGAATGACAGCCAGGCATGGCTTTCTGCATCTTGAGGGAATGCATGTGGGCAGCAGGACCAACTCACATTTCACCTCCAGAGGAAATGAGATGCATGTTTTCCAAACCCTGGGATTCCAAACACAGACCTGTGAATGGCTTTCGTTGATGTGAAGTCTTCACCTTTCATGCACACGACTTCATGAGGGCTGCTCCCCATTCTCCAGAGCTGCGTGCATGTTGCTGACAGTTTTTTAAGCTGACTTTATTTTTAGAACAGTTTTGACAGGAATATTGAGAAGATGTCACAGAGTCCCCATATAGCCCTCACACAGCTTCCCTTATTATTAAAATTTTACATTAGTGCTGTGCATCTGCCACCACTGATGAACCAGTATTGAAACACAAGTATTGGCTAAAGGCCCTGTTCTACATGGTGCATTCAGATTTCCCTGATTCTTCCCTAATGTCCTTGCCCTGTCCCAGGAAGGGCCCGTCCAGGACACCACATGACATTTGGTCGGCATGTCTCCTTAGGTGCCTCTCGGCTGTGACAGTTTCTCCAACTTTCCTTGTTTTTGATGGCCTTGACAGTTTTTAGGAGTACCAGTCAGAAATTCTGCAGGATGCCCCACTCTTGGAACGTGCTATTTTTCTCATGAGTGACTGGTGTTATGCGCCAGGGGAAAGAAAGCGCGGCGGCAGCACTCCACTGGCGTCACATCCTACCCAGGGCGCGTGCTCTCAACAAGGCTGTCCTTGCTGACATTGACCTTGGCCCCCGGCTGAGGTCGTGCTGTCAGTCTTCTCCGCTGTGAAGTCACTGTGGGGTCCTAATTAGGGAAAAGGAGTCAGGCTGCAGGGAGCAGGGGAAGCAAAAAGAAGCAGCAGAAGAGGTATAAGTCTGCCTTTCTTCACGGTGCAGGACACACAGCCCTCCTGCACAGATAACTCACAATCTTCCTGCACCCAGCTATCACCAGACCCTCAGCTGATAGAAAAATGCAAGGTAGCTCCCTGCAACCCTGGCGTTATCAGTACCGCACGCAGCCCTCTGCAGCCCAAGAACCATCCTATAAAACCTCCAGCAAGCCTTTGAACCCCAGCAGTCAGCTCCTCTTCTGCTGAGTCCGCCTGTTTCCTCCTCGCAACGTATTTTCCTATTTTCTCTAATAAATCTGCCCTTCTTTATCTACAACTGTCTTGGGAAATTCTTTGATGCTCCCCCTACCCCGGACCACCACCACCCAGATAGTCATCACCCCCCTCAACAGTTATCACCTGCCTTCCATACCACACTCTTGGGAAGGAAGTCAAGGTGCACAGCCCACACCTGAGGAGGGGGACTCGCGGTCCCCTCCTTGAGGGCAAGGTATCTGCGTAAATTATTTGGAATCCTTTGGCAATGGTGATTTGTCTCTTCTTTCCCATGTAGTTTATTCAGTCACTGATGTCTGTCAGCACTGACTCATGGACACCTGTGTCATATTTTGGGTCATGACTCAACCCTACTTTATTTTGTTGCTCAAGTTGTTCTGGCTTTGGCCATTGGGAGCTCTTCCAGTTGGCTCCTGTGTCCCTTTAAGGTAGGATTTGGAGATTTTTTTTAGTACTTCCTTTCTATAGATTTATCTTGTATATTTCTTGCCCCAGTCCCAGAATCAGCCATTTCTCTGAGGAGCCCTGTTTCTTTTTATTGGAGAACAGTATTAGAAGCCAAGATCTGAGCACTAGGTGTGTTTATTGCTACTGGAATATGATTGCTTCTAGGCCGTCTCAGATGACAGAGGAGAGGTATATGTATACTAATTAACGCACATACGCATATCTATAAATATTTCTATATGTAATCGTTTGTATCTGTATTATGCTAAACATGAGTTTATACTGATACCTTCCACTCAAATTCAATAATGCATGAACCATTCTAGTCTCATCCCCTGCTTTATCTGTAAATCCTCAGAGTGAGAAGCCTGACTCCCACTACTCATGATCCATTTACTGAATCACTCAATTCCGGCCGGGCACGGTGGCTCACACCTGTAATCCCAGCACTTTGGGAGGCCGAGGTGGGCGGATCACGAGGTCAGGAGATTGAGACCATCCTGGCTAACACGGTGAAACCCCATCTGTACTAAAAATACAAAAAATTAGCCAGGCATGGTGGCGGGCACCTGTAGTCCCAGCTACTCAGGAGGCTGAGGCATGAGAATGGCATGAACCTGGGAGGAAGAGCTTGCAGCGAGCCGAGATTGTGCCGCTGCAGTCCAGCCTGGGTGACAGAGTGAGACTCTGTCTCAAAAAAAAAAAAAAAAAAAGAATCACTCAATTCCAGTGCACATGAGCTGTGGGATCAGATTGTGAATCTGTACTTCCATGGGAAGCACCATAAGCTAGAGTGCAGTGCTTATGCTCAGTTCCCTTTTGCCTTTGGTCTTACCCACTCCACTCATTTATGCAGTACCCTTAGGGCAGCACCTGCTCTCCCATTGTCTCTTCAGTGAGGTAATTTTACACATTTGTAATACAGTTGGATTCTCTGGTCACAGTCAGTATTCCCTCCTGGGATCCCTTGACCTCCTAAATAATTTTTTTTTATTTGTATACATTAAGAGTTCCTCTGGGCTATAAAGTTCTATAGGTTTTGACAAATGCCTGTCAAATATCCATTATTACAGTGCAGTTTTACTGTCTGTGTCCCATATATTCATCCCTCCCTCCCACCAACCACTGGAAACCACTGGATGTTTTACTGTCTTTGTGGATGTCTTTTTCAGAATGTCATATATTTGGAATCATACGTAGGTAGCATTTTCTTTTTTTTTTTTTTTCTAGGCAGAGTCTTACTCTGTCGCCCAGGCTGGAGTACAGTGCCGTGATCTCAGCTCACTGCAACCTCTGCCTCCTGGGTACAAGCAATTCTCCTGCCTCAGCCTCCTGAGTAGCTGGGATTACAGGCACATGCCACCACGTTTGGCTAATTTTTGTATTTTTAGTAGATATGGGGTTTCACTGTGTTAGCCAGGAATGGTCTTGATCTCCTGACCTCGTGATCCACCCACCTCGGCCTCCCAAAGTGCTGGGATTACAGGCGTGAGCCACCGCTCCCAGCCGTAGGTGACATTTTCTGACTGGCTTCTTTCACTTAGCAATACACATCTAAGATTCCTCCAGGTCTTTTTGTGGCTTGATAGGTGGGTTTTTAATCACCAAATATTCCATTGTATGGGTGTACAAAGTCTATCTGTTCACCTATTGAAGGACATCTTGGTTGCTTTTCGTTTTGAGTGACTGTGAGAAAGCTGCTATAAACATTCATGTGCAAGTTTTTGTGTCGACATACGTTTTTAAATCAGTTGGATAAATTCCAAGGAGTGCAATTGCTAGATCTTATGGTAAGAGTTTATTTACTTTGTAAGAAACTGCTGAACTGTCTTCCAAAGTGGCTGTACCATTTAACACCCCAGCAGCAGGGAATGGCCAGGCCTGGTGCCCTGACTGCTCACCAACTTTAGGTGCCATCAGCTTCTTTTCTTTTTTTCTTTCCTTTTTTGTTTTCACTTTCACCATTCTAATCTGTGTGTAGAGGCATCTCATTGTTTTAATTTGCAATTCCATAATAACAAATGGTTTCAAATATCTTTTTCATATGCTTATTTGCCATCTGTATCTTTCTGGTGAGCTGTCTGTTCAGATCTTTTTCCCATTGTTAATCAGAATGTTTGTTTTCTTATTGCTGAGTATTGAGGTTTCTTTATATATTTTGGACAACAATTGAAAGATTAAATATACAAATGGACAGACCTTATAGAAATAGAACTCTGACCAATAAGTTGCAGGAAGCAGCCCTGGAAACTAACCCATTATCTATAGTAACCAGCCCAGGAAGCCAGCCTGCTATACCTCAGACTTGTAAGATGTCAGATCGCTATCTCTACCAACAGTCCAGGAAGCCAAACAATAGCCTTTGCAACAATCAGCCCCAAATGGCCAGGACTTGACTTATAACTGACTCCGTCCCATTTTTTTGTTCCCACTTCCAACTTAGGATCAACCAAAGGAAGTCAAATGTGCTCCCCTAACCAATCACATAGGAGCCCCACTTCTAGATAGCTACCCCAACTTCTCCAGGTCAATAGCCTCCAATCGGGGCACCACTGAGGCTTGCCATTTTCAATGGTGTCTTTCACAGAACAAAAGTTTTTAATTTTAATGAAATCTAACATCAATATTTTCTTTCTTGGGTCATGCCTTTCGTATTGTACCTAAAAACTCATTGCCAAACCCAAAATCACTTTGATTCTTTCCATGTTATCTTCTAAGATATTATAGTTTTGCAATTTATATTTAGGTCTATGATCCATTTTGAGTTTATTTTTGTGAAGAGTATAATATCTGTGTCAAGATTCATCTTTTTGCATGAGAATGTCCAATGGTTCCAGCACTATTTGTTGAAAAGACTATCCTTTCTTCACTGTATTGTATTCACGCTTACATCAAAGATCAGTTGACTACACTTGGGTAAGTCAGTTTCTAAGATCTGTATTCTGTTCCACTTATACACTTTATACATTGTTGGATTCAATTAGCTAATTTTTTTTTTTTTTGAGACAGTGTTCTCTCTCTGTCGCCCGGGCTGGACTGCAGTGGTGCAATCTCGGCTCACTGCAACCTCCACCTCCTGGGTTCATGCCATTCTCCTGCCTCAGCCTCCTGAGTAGCTGGGACTACAGGCGCCTGCCACCACTCCCGGCTAATTTTTATTTATTTATTTATTTTAGTAGAGACAGGGTTTCACCACATTAGCCAGGATGGTCTCGATCTCCTGACCTTGTGATCTGCCCACCTTGGCCTCCCAAAGTGCAGGGATTACAGGCGTGAGCCACCGTGCCTGGCCTCAATTAGCTAATATTTTGTTGAGAATTTTTGCATCTATTTCATGAAACATATTGGTCTGCAGTTTTCCTTTCTCATAATGCATTTATCTAGTTTTGCTATTAGGGCAATCCTAGCCTCATAAAAAGAATTAGGAAGTATTCCCTCTGCTTCTCTTTTCTGGAGATATTTTAGAGAATTGGTACCATTTCTTCCTTAAATGACTGGTAGATTTCACCAGTGAAACCGTCTGAATCTGGTGCTATTTTTCCAGAAAGTTATTAACCATGGATTCAATTTCTGTAATACACATGTGCCTATTAAGATTACCTCTTTCTTCTTGTGTGAGTTTTGGTAGTTTGTGTCTTTCAAGAAATCGGTTCATTTCATCTAAGTTATCAAACTTGTGGATATAGAGTTATTAATAGTATTACTTTATTATCTTTGAATGTCCATGGGATCAGTAGTGAAGTCAGTCCGGCTCAGACATCCACAGAATGAACAGATTATGACCCTCCGCTGGGCCTGGGTCCAGAGGTTTTGGGCATTGGCCTCAGGGGATTTGAGACCACATTTGAAAACTTTGCATGGATTGCTGAGATGTAGTCCGAACTTGCTGTGTCACTGGGTTTATTTCCAACCTCTGGCCTCCCCATCTTTAACTGGCTTATGGTATATGGTATAAGTTTGGGTAAGCATCTTCTTTTTGAGACAGGGTCTCACTTTGTTACCCAGGCTGGAGTACAGTGCTACAATCTCAGCTCACTGCAGCCTTGACTTCCCGAGTTCAAGCAATCCTCCTGCCTCAGCCCCTCCAAGTAGCTGGGACTACAGGGATGTGCCACCATGCCCAGTTAATTTTTGTATTTTTTGTAGAGGCAGGGTTTCTTCATGTTGCCCAGGCTGGTCTTAAACTCCTGAGCTCAAGAAATCCACCCGCCTCAGCCTCCCAAAAATGCTGGGATTACAGGTGTGAGCCACCATGCCCAGCCCAATCTTGCCTTTCAGTTTTACCCAGGTGAAGTGGACTATTGAGTTCTGGGGTCCCAGTAGTTGTCTATTTTGAAGCAGACATGTTCTCAGGATTGGAGACTGCAGCCCAAAGCATGGAGATCTGGGGCCTTTGGGCAGAGATGGGAGGGCTTGTCTGTGCCCACACACAGCTGTGGGGCTCAGAGGGGACAGTTGTACTTCACTAGGGTCACTGGCTCACACAGCACAATGTGGACATAAAAGTCCAGGATACAAGGCAGGCACACCTGATGGGGAGCAATTGGAGCACGGAGGCAAGGTTCACAAACTTGTCTGCCTAGAGCAACTGCAGAAAAGTACTGACACCTGGGCCCCATAACCCATGTCAGAGATGCTCACTCAGTTGGCTTGGGGTACAGCCCCATGTTCAGGTGCCCTTGAGCAAGGGCCAAACACAGGCATTGACTGCACTTTGGAGTAGGAAGAATGAAGTAGATGAGCAGAGGTGGGGGACCTTGTCGAGGGATCCCTCCTCAGGAGGCCAAGGTCTTCATCCACCAAGTGACAATGCTGCCTTCGCCTGCGACTTGGAACACTGACAACTCCTCACAGGAGAAGCTGGCGGAGCCTTGTGCAGACCATTCCAGTCCCATGAGGTCATCCTCATACGTACTAACAAGCTAAAGAGACCAGACAAGCCCGATACCTCCCACTCAGTCTTGAAAACGTTGATGCCTTAAACCTCCCACTAGACATTAAAGGAAGCTTCTGCCTGGGGCCCTGCATGAGAAGGGAGGTGAGCCATTGGATGTCATCACTGTCAGTCATCCAGGGTACAAGAGGAGCCTCAACTGGTGTTTGCACAGGACTTGACTACAGAGGCATAGGTTTTTGCCTTTTCCTCCCTGGAGTCTATAGCTTGGCTTCAATCCCAGGTAAATGTCAGAAGGAACCTGGAAAAACTTCTAGAATGCCTAAGTGCAGCCAAGTAAACAGAAACAGGTTTAAGAAAAATGAACAAAATGTATTGGCTTGTCTAATTGAAAAGTCCAACAGAAGAGTGGCTGCAGGCTCGGCTGAATCAAGGTGCTCCACGATCAGCATCCATCTGATCCCCCCCACCCATGCTTTTCTTTCCTCTGCACTGGCCACTTTCTCTCACAGGCTTTCCATTCACCGGAGGAAATTGTTTCCAGCATTGGACTCATGTCTTTCCAGTTCAGGAACCTCAAAGAGAAGGAAGTCTATAAACCACATCCTGCCTTTCATTTTTGGACTCTTTTCTGTTCCATTGACCTATTTGTCTATCTTCATAGCGATAAGACATTATTTTTATTAATGTAGGTTTATAATAAGTTGAAATTGGATAGTATTAATTCTACAACTTTCTTTTTTTCTCCAAGTTGTCTTGCCTATTACAAGTTCTTTGCATTTCCATATGAATATTAGAATCAACTTATTAATTCTTACAAAAATGCCTAATGGGATTTTGATTGGGATTGAAATGAATCTATACATCAGTCCAGGGAGAATTGACATCTTAACAATTTTCAGTCTTCTGATGTATAAATATAGTATAACCATTCATTTATTTAGATCTTTTTTAGTTTCTTTCAGCAAAGCATTGCAGTGGGTTTTTTGTTTTGTTTTGTTTTCTGTTTTTGTTTTTGTTTTTGTTTTGAAATGGAGTTTCGCTTTTGTTGCCCAGGCTGGAGTGCAATGGCCCAGTCTCAGCTCATTGCAACCTCCACCTCCCGGGTTCAAGCAATTCTCCTATCTCAGCCTCCAAAGCAGCTGGGATTACAGGCTTCCGCCACCATGCCTGGTTAATTTTTGCATTTTTCGTAGAGATGGGGTTTCCCCATGTTGGTGAGGCTGGTCTCAAACTCCTGACCTCAGGCAACCTGCCCGCCTCAGCCTCCCAAAGTGCTGGGATTACAGGCGTGAGCCACTACGCCCAGCCAGCATTGCAGTTTTTAGTGTACAGGTCTCTCATATATCTTGTCAGATTTATCTCAAAATATTTATTTTATATGTTTATATTATAAATGGGTTTGTTTTGTTTTGTTTTGTTTTGTTTTTTTGAGAGAGAGAGTCTCACTCTATAGCCCGGGCTGGAGTGCAGTGGCTAATCTCAGCTCACTGCAAGCTTCACCTCCCGAGTTCACGCCATTCTCCTGCCTCAGCCTCCCAAGTAGCTGAGACTACAGGCGCCCACCACCATGCCCAGCAAATTTTTTGTATTTTTAGTAGAGACGGAGTTTCACCGTGTTAGCCAGGATGGTCTCGATTTCCTGACCTCGTGATCCACCCACCTTGGCCTCCCAAAGTGCTGGGATTACAGGCGTGAGCCACCGCACCTGGCCTATACATGGTATTTTTAATTTTTATTTTCTGATTGTTTGCTAATAGCACATGGCAAACAATAGATTTTTGTTGATTGATCTTGTATCCTTTCACTTTGCTGAACTCGCTTTTTTTTTTTTTTTTTTTTGAGACGGAGTCCCGCTCTTTAGCCCAGGCCGGATTGCAGTGGCACAATCTTGGCTCACTGCAAGCTCCGCCTCCCAGGTTCACGCCATTCTCCTGCCTCAACCTCCCGAGTAGCTGGGACTACAGGCGCCTGCCACCGCGCCCGGCTAATTTTTTGTATTTTTAGTAGAGACGGGGTTTCACTGTGTTAGCCAAGATGGTCTCGATCTCCTGACCTTGTGATCCGCCCGCCTCGGCCTCCCAAAGTGCTGGGATTACAGGCGTGAGCCACCGCGCCCAGCCAGAACTCGCTTATTAATTAAAATATTTTTAAGGATTCCATTACACTTTGTATATAGATGATGATGTTGTCTGCAAGTAAAAACAGCTTTATTGCTCCCTTTCCAGTATGGACGCCCTTTATTTCTTTTTCTTGCCGTATTGCACAGACTAGAACCTGTACAATATTGAGTAGAAGTGATGAAAGAGAACACCCTTGTCTTGTTCCCAGTCTTAGGGAAAGAGCATTGAAGCTTTTACATTAAGCGTCACGTTCACTGTAGGGTTTTTACAGATGCCTTTTGTCAGATTCAGAAAGTTTCCTGCTATTCCTACTTTGTTGAGAGTTTTTATTATTAAAGTATATTGAATTTTTTATGTTTCTGCATTTTTGGCTTCGTCATATGATTTTTCATGGTTTTATTAATATGATAAATTACATTGATTGATTTTCTGATATTAAGCTATACCTGCATTCCTGACTTAAATCCCACTTGGTTGTACTGTCTTTCTTTAACTAAACTATTGTTAGGTTCATTTTGTTAAAATGTGTTTAGAATATTTTCACCTATGTTCATGAGGGATATTTGCTGTAATTTTCTTTTATTTTAATGTCTTGGTTTTGGTATCATAGTATGATGGCCTCCTGGAAGGAGTATTCCCTCCTCTTCAGTTTTCTGAAAATGTTTGTGTGGATTTGGTATCATTTCTTCCATAAATGTTTGGCATAATTTGCTAGTGAAGCCATCTAGGTGTGAGGTTTTCTTTGGGGAAGAATTTAACAGTAAATTCAACTTTTGGAATAGATATAGGGCCAAATTATCTGTTTCTTAAGTCAACTCTGGTAGTTTGTATCTTTTGAGTAATTTGTTCATTTTATTTAAGTTGTCAAATACACTGGTATAAAGTCCATAATATGTGCCTTTACCATCCTTTTAATATTTGCAAAATAAATTTGCAGTGATGTCACCTTTCTCCTTCCTGATACTGGTAACTTGTGTCTTCTCTTCTTTTTTCTTGATGAATATAGCCACAGGTTTATCAACTTTATTAAGCTTCTGAATAACTAGCTTCTGGTTTCATTGATTTTCTCTATTATTATTGCATTTTATTATTTTCTACTTCATTGATTTCTACTCTGATCTTTATTGTTTTCTTTTTCTGCTCCTCAAATTTAAGTTGCTCTTCTTTTTCTGGCCTTTAAGGCGCAAGATGAGACCATTGATTGAAGTTCTTTCTTTTTTCATAATGGAAGCATTTTTAAGGCTAAAAATTTCCCTCTAAGTACTGCTCTAATGGCATCCCACAAATTCTAATATGTTTTCATTTTAGTTAAATATAAATACTTCCTAAATTATATTTTAATTTATTTTTTGACCATTGATTATTTATAAATGTGTTATTTAATTAAGTATTTAAGGTTTTTACAGATTTCCTTTAGTTATTGATTTCTAATTTCAATCCACTGTGGTCAGAGAAAACACTTTTGTATAGTTTGAATGCTTTTTAATGTACTGAGACTTATGGCCCATAATACAGTGTATCTTGGTAAATGTTCTGTGTGCACTTAAGAAGAATGTATATTCTGCTCTTGTGTGGAGTGTCTTATAAATGACAATTGGGTCAAATTGATTGACAGTGTTCAAATCTATTTTTCATTAGTTTTTCCTACTTGTTCTATCAATTATTGAAAGAAGACTGTAATGTTCGTTTGTCTATTTGTCCTCGTAGTTCTATCAGTATTTGTTTCAGGTGTTTTGAAACTCTATTGTTAGGTTCATCAACGTTTATGATTGATAACTCTTCTTGATTAACTGACATCTTGGTCATTATGGAAATGACCTTCTTTATACCCCAACAATATTGTTTGTTCTGAAATCTACTTGGATATTGGTATAACCATACCAATTTTCTTTTAACTAATGTTAGTATAGTACATATTTTCTCATACCTTTACTTTAAATGTATATGTGTCTTTACAGCTAATATTTGTTTCTTATAGGCAGCATATAGTTAGGTCTTGCTTTTTTATCCAATGTTAAAATCCTTATCTTTTAATTTGGGTGTATAGGCCATTTTTACTTAATATGAATGTTGATATGATCTATTAAATTCTATTTGTCCCAATTTGATTTATAAGGCAGGATTTGAACAGATATTTAACCAAAGATGATATCTGAATGGCCAGTGAGCATGTTGGAGGATTCTCAACTTATTTTTCCATTACAAAAATGCAAATTAAAACTACAATGACATACAGCTGCACACTACTTAGAGGGGCTAAAGTGGCCGCCCTCACCTGGTGCTGGTGAGAATGTGGATGGACTAGGGCTCTCATTCACTGCTGGTAAGAATGTAAAACAGTGCAAGAACTTCGGAAAATAGTTTGGCAGGTTTTTTTAAAAGTTAAACATGCACCTGCCATATGACCCAGCCATTCCACTCATAGGTATTTTTACCCAAGAGAAAGGAGGTTTTTCTATACATATATCTGTATATCGATGTTACATCAACTTCATCTGAAATTGTCCAAACCTGGAAACAACTAAAACGCCCACCGACAGATGAAGAGAGAAATTGCTCCTCTATCCATACAGTGGAACATACTCAGCAACAGACGGATGAACTGTTGATACGTGAGACAACATGGAGAAATCTCAAAATAGTTATTCTGAGTGAAAAAACAGACAAAAAAGGGAGTACATATTTCATGACTCTATGTGTGTAAAATTCTAGAACACGCAAACTAATCCGTAGTGACAGAAAGCAGATCCATGGTTGCCTGGGGAGATGAAGCCACAGGAGATAGGGAGGAAGGAGAAAGGGAGTTCGAAAGCCAAGAAGAGGCTTTAGGAGCGGGGATTTGTACATCTTGATTGTGGTGACGCTTCACAAATGTATATATATGTCAAAACGTATCAAATTGTCCATTTTTAATATGTGTCACTAATTGTATGCCAATTACACCCCAAAAAAGCTGTTTTTCAAAAATCCAACTTAAACTTAGAATTTACCACCAAAAGAATACAAATAAGGACTAGGCCTTCCAAAACACTAGAGAAAAAATAAAATAGTAAAGAAAACAGCTCACAAAGCCAAAGATAGGGAAAGAAAAAGGATAACAAAGCATAAATAACAGATGTATCAACAAACATGTCTGTTTTGACAATAAACACTATTTAAAGAAAACCATCCAAATATACACTCCTCACAAAGGGTACACGTAAAATAAAATACTTAAATGTTAAAAAGAAAAGGAAAGCAAATATATGTTAGGCAAGCATAAACAATAAGAAAGAGAGTTGGTAAAATGAGTATCAGATAAAGCCAAAAAGCACTAAAAGAGACAAAGAGTAATTTGATTCTGAGGAACAATTAAAGACCCAATGAGGGCACAGCAACGATTAACCTTTAAGCAGGGAATAATTTATCATCCAAATCTACAAAGCAAAAACTGTAAGACATACAACTGGAAATTAGCAACAAAAAGGCAAATGTTAGCCCCAAGGATCAAGCTATATAAAGGCACACTTTGTTTAATTGTGTCCATTTTTAATTTGAATGGTGAGATTGTTTTGAATGAGTGGGAGAAAATTTACATCCTCCAACAGCGACTGTGAGACACAGCTTGAGGAGTGCATAGGGAACCCTTAGCCCTCCCTCCCCACCTGCCCAGCCCTACTTTGGGCCACGAGGAGAGGAGGCAGAGCAGAGACTGTCTTCAGCCATGAGAGTGATGGTGTGTGAGAGACTATTCCTTCTCCTAGTGGCAAACCCAGCTCAGAGCTGGCTCTTCTTTCTCCCTAGAGCCCAGGTCTCCAGCCCAAGGAACCGCCTCACCTTGTCATCCCAGGAGGGTTGGTGCCCACTTATCTGCAGCTTCCTGACCCAAATAGCCAGACCTTCCACAGGTTTGCCTACAAGAGGGCTAGTGCGTCCTGCAACTCAGATGCTTTTCCATCAAAATAAATGCCCATATAGAAGGAGTCAAGAATAAATACCCACATCCACCATCGCAGTGTGGTAAGAACATTACAAGGACACTGATGAGAATGAAGCCGGACATCACTGAGCCCCACCGTCCTGTGTCATGTTGGCTAAGGCCCCGTGCTCCGTCCTGTATGTAAGAAGCCAGCCGGGTGCCTCTCAGGGTTCTGGGCATCCCTGGGGGGTTACGCCCTGTGCTCACTCTGGCTGGAGGCCCCGACTCCAGCAGAGGCCACTCGCCCCTTCCTCGGCTCCTGCTGCCGCTCTCTTCTCCTGAGTCCATGAAAACACTGACGCCAAGTTACATCCTGTTCCTTATTTGTCCCAACACTCCTCCAAGAGCCCAAACTACTGTGATCTCAGGAGCTGGAAAAAGCTTGCCGCTCAGAAAGGCAAACACCTTGCACATCTTCCACCAGGACACCTGAAGTCAAGCTGCTCCCCACAAGAGGCACACCAGTGCAGATGGTTAAACGACAACTTCTGCACCCACTCCTCAAAGAAGTCCATAATCTCTTGCCTCCTCTTGGTCCTGGGAGCCATGTGCTCTCTGCACTCTTGCCTTGAGCCCAGTCCCAGCTCTGGGAGGCATATGCTCCTGGCCATCACCCCTAATCAAATGGGGAAACTGAGGCTGGGAGAGGATAAGGGACTCAGCCAAGATTGTAACCCTACTAGGTTTGTAGCCCACTGTGCAGCGCGTCAATACACAGATACAGTGTATTGCACTGGGTTGCAGCAGGGGAAGACTTTAGTAATTGTAGGGCAGCCGAATGAGGAGATGAGAGGAAACCTCAAATCCACCTGCCCAGGAAGTTTGGGATGGGCTCTTAAGGGGTCTGGGCAGGTGATGGGCTAAAGTGTGGGGATTGCTGACTGGTGGAGAAGTGTGGAGGATGAAGAAACCGCATTCCTGTACTTTACTGCTTCCTTGGTCGGGGGTCTTCATACCTGTTGGCCTCAGCCGTGCTACTAGAATTCAGGATCTGAAAAACACCTTAAGCAATTCTTGAGTAAAAAGACCCAGGGCCAGAGAGTCTCTCTGGTGGAAGAACGGGGCAGCAGGTGCTCAGCCTGCCGAGGGACTCTCTGTGCATTAGAGCTGCAGGGGACTGGGTGGAAGTGGCCCTGCACACCCGGGTCGGTGCCTCGCTATAACTCTGCCTGAAGCCTGGCTTGGATTGTCGTTAACCCTGTGAGGTGATTCAGTGTGGAGTCAGGATCCAATATGGGTTTATTTCACATGCTAACACCAAATGAGAGCCAGATATTTGAAAATGCAGATTTCCAAGCTTCTCGGGAGCACCCTCAAGTAGGTCAGCGGCTGCTCCATCGGGCCCCACGTCGCTCAGGCTTAAGTAAAACGTGCCTGGCTTCAGGCAGACGAGTGAATGTGAGTGTGTCTGTGAGTGTGTATGTCTACGTCTGTCTGTCTGTGAGTGTGTCTCTGTGTCTGTGATGACTGTGTCTGTCAGTGTGTCTGTGTGAGATCGTCTATGAGTGTATGTGTCTGTGTGTGACTGTGTGTGAGCAAATGTCTCTGTGTGCCTGTGTGTGTCTGTGTAAGTGTGTCCCTGTGTGTCTGTAGTGTGTGTGTCTGAGTGTCTGTCTGAGAGTGTGTGTCTGTCTGTATGCCTGCAAGTGTGTGCGCGTGTCCCTCCATCTGTGTGTCTGTGAGCACCTGGGTCTGCATTTGAGACCCCTGCCCTCACCCTACAATCTCCCTGCTGCCACACCCCAAAGCTCCAGCACATTCCTGGAGGAATTAGAGAGACGATGCTGTGCCACTGCCCTCCCTTTGAAGTGCACCTGATGGGGACACAGGGTCTCTGCCATGATCCCCACTGGGGCCTTGCCCCTGACCGCACACACTGTCCCATCTCAGGAGGGTCTCACTGCTGCCCTTTCCTGGCTGTACTGATGGCCCAAGGGGATGCGGGAACCATCAAGACCGAGTCCCTCTGGAGGTGCCTCATCCCCGCACCGCCCGGCCCTCAGTGCACCCTCTATGGGGTAGCACTAAGCCATCCCCCAGGTTGCAGGAGGGAGATGAACTAATCTGAAACATTAAGTATGGCTTTGGAACCAACTTGGCTCTCCGGATGACAACTCCCTTGTTCCAGATGGTTCCTGTGTGCGCCCGCGTTCGTTAGCATGCTAATTTATTCTGACTCATTCCGGAGCTGGCGCGCGGGCTGGCGCACACCTCTATGCCAGCACGAGTCCCCGAGGCCCGCGATTCCCAGCTGGAGCGGCCCCCTCCCCGGGGGCTGTCACACACGCCGAGGGGAATAAAGGGAAGGGAACAGTTGGGGATGTGGCTTCAGTGGCAGCCCAGGCAGGCTATAATTTCAGCCCTGGCGCCCTGACATTCACAGCAAGCTCTCGCTCTGTGGCAGAATCCTCTCGGAAGGCAGCGCCACCCTCTGAGGACGTTCAGGCTGGGAGGTCCCGGGTGGATCTCCCGCTGCAGCTAAAACACCAGTCAGGCCCCCACAAGGAAACCCAGAGCAAGCAAACACCGAGGAAGAAGTCGCTCCCTCAAAGGCAGCGTCTGGGGGCTGGTAGGAGGCTCCCGGCTGCCGGCCCCACCCCTGGTTGTGAACTCTGTGACCAAGACAGCAGGGACCGAGGGCTACCCACACTCCACAAGCGGGAGGGATGGGAGCCGCCCGTCAGTGCCCTGCCCACCTCCGGGTGCCCGCCTTCCCTGGAAACATTCCCACCGTCTTCCTGCAGCTGAAGCAGCGGAATCACCCTGGGATGGCCTGGGGAGGAGCCCGCAGAACGACCCGCATGAGGACACTGAGCTGCAGGAAGCACACGCAGGGCTGGGGTCTCCGGACCGTGGGGCAGAACTTGGGGGGTCAGAGAGAACACACACATTCGAATCCCTAAATTCCTGGTTCAAGGGACAGACCAAACCCCAGGTGCTCGGTGGGACCACGGGAGAAGCCGGCTTAGCTCAAGAAGGCACAAGGGCAGTGGCCAAGTCCCACCCCCAGGCTGAGCCCTGCCAGACGCCCTTTACAATGTCAGCCTGGGAGTCTCTCCTGAGTCAGGGCAGCCATCCACAAAGAGTGGACCCCCTAGAAGTCTGGGGGGTGT
This sequence comes from Homo sapiens, assembly GCF_000001405.40. NCBI lineage: Eukaryota > Metazoa > Chordata > Mammalia > Primates > Hominidae > Homo > Homo sapiens. The sequence goes on from NT_187599.1 coordinate 104,381, forward strand.
CCTTGAATAACACTGTCATCCCCAAATCAGAGAGGGAGTTCAGGGGACCTGGGGATGAGGGGATTCAGGGGACCTGGGGATGAGGGAGTTCAGGGGACCTGGGGATGAGGGGGTTCAGGGGACCTGGGGATGAGGGGGTTCAGGGGACCTGGGGATGAGGGGGTTCAGGGGACCTGGGGATAAGTGGAGCTCTGCCCTTCAGCGGCGCCCGGAGGGCCCGCAACCCCATCCCCATGTCTTCCTCAAGCTCCTGAGGGCGTACTTGGAAAAGCACTTCATGAATTCCCACACTGGTCCCCTGACCCCAGGACTGAGGAGCAACACGGTGGGACCCGGCACTCTCCCTGCTGCCAAACCCCAAAGCTCCAGCACATTCCCGGAGGAATTAGAGAGACAGTGCCATGCCCCAAAGATTTGGAAATGCAGTCAGTTCTCCCTCTACCCGCAAGCACGGCTTCTGACGCGATGACACTGTAAATACAACTCGGAGCTGCACCCGGCAGCAGCTGCTGCTCCAGATGCAGGGTCCTCATGGGCATCAGCCAGGCACCTGGTTTTCCCTCCCGTCCAGGAAATCAGGAACCCTCCAGCCCTTGGGCTGGAGGGAGGCTGGGGCGTCTCCACCACCTGCTCTCAGGGACACCGCAGCACCCCTCTCTGTGACAGAGTTTGGTCCACAGAAGTGATGGCTGCAGCACTACCTGGGCCTCATGCTGGCCCATGCGGGGGGACTCACCATAGAACCAGAGACGGACACGGAGCACCTTACCTGCCAGAGGTGGGAGACAAGCCCCACTGGGTAGCACAGCTCTTGACACAGCCACGAAGGAGGGAGTGGCAGGCGAGGGAGAGGGGACAAAGCAAGACCAGGCCCTTCCTTCCACCCCTGATGACCGAGGGCATCACCGATGCCCAAGGGTTAGGCCGCTGGGAATTCCGGGCAGGCGGCTGCAGTGGGAGAGTTCCAGAAGAGAGCCCTCCCAGCGAGTAAGATCCTCACGTGAGAGAGAGCTCCTGGCTCATGTTGGGCCTGGGAGGCTGTAGACACCTGACAATGGGACACCAAATGACAAGGTGGCCCAGCTGCCCCATGTGAACTGGAGGTCCCCTGATCCACTAAGCCCTCGAGCTGGGCCACGCCCAAGATGCTCCTCCCTCACCAGGTGAACGCCACATGTGCCGGGCCAGGCCCATGTGCCCACAGGCCCTCAGGCACCCACGGCTACACCTGTGGCCTCATCTGTGGCTCCCGGGCTGGCTGATGGGTGGTCTGGAGGCTGGTGGCAAGAGGCATCATCCAGCAGCCAGGCCTGAGCAGGGCACAATGACAGTCACGTTTCCATGAAGTGGGAGTGATGTGAAGCCACAGTCCTGTGGGCCCCCAGGTGTGGCCAGAGGCTGGCCATGAGAAGGACCGAGCTGGTGACAAGGAGGAAGCTGTTGGTGGCAAGGCTCGTTGGAACAGACACGGGCTGTACACACATCTGCATCCAGGTGACCACTCAGGAAGACCCAGATGGGGAGGCTGTGAATGACCAGGTGACAAGACACCCCAGCAGGTGAGCCAGAACAGGGGCAAGGTGGCTCCGGGGCGGTGGGGGCTCGGCAGGGGCTCCGGGGCGGTGGGGGCTCAGCAGCACAGACTCCCCTCAGGGATGCCCCTGCTTGGGTCCATGTTGTCCGCAGCCACCACCCAGGGGACACTGCCAACTGCCTGGTGCAGGTTGGTTATGTTGGGTGGACAACAATCCATCCTCTCTAGGAAAGATGGCCATTCGGTCCCCAGCCCCTGGCCCCAGCCCAGCTTTCCAAATGTCTTATTCCCCAGCAGGATCCCCACAGAATGCCACTTCTGCCCCAGGAGCCGCTGCAGAGGGGAAGAAGGGAAGAGTGAGCAGGTGTCATGGGATGACCCGGTCTCATCCCAAACCCACCATGAGCCCCTGTGAACAGCTAGAAGAGTGCGGAAGATGAGGGGCCGCAGCCTTCTTCCCACCACAACAAGCCACCAACACAGAGGCTCCCCATGGCCTGAGTCCTGGGGTGTGAGGGCTGCACAGGACAGGGCCCTGCCCTGCCCCCACCCCAGCCCCAGCGTTCTCCCCAGCCCCACTCCCCACCCCTGCTCCAACATCCTCCCCAGCCCCACTCCCCACCCCAGCCCCAGCATTCTCCCCAGCCCCCTGCCCTGCCCCCACCCCTGCCCCAGCGTTCTTCCCAGCCCCCTGCCCTGCCCCCACCCCCGCCCCAGCGTTCTCCCCAGCCCCCTGCCCTGCCCCCACCCCCGCCCCAGCGTTCTCCCCAGCCCCCGCTCCCCACCTCTGCCCCAATGTCCTCCCCAGCCCCGCTTCCACCCCTCCCTCACCGGTCTCTGGTCTGTCCCTCCTGTCCCTCCCAGCCCCTCCCAGTTCGGCCCTTGGAGGTTCCACAAACGAGGTTGTCAAATGCCTGTCCAAAGCACGTGCCAATCAGGCCCAGAGGGTTTTACAGCCTCTGAGGAGGAGGAAGAGGAGTTGGGGAGCCATGCCTCCCCATCCAGGAAGACAATATTCCACCATCAAGGACACGACCCTGGGTATTTACAGATGGTAATGAGACTGTCCACTGCTTGAAGTTACCATCAATAAGCAGTGAAAACTGCTGAGTTTCATGCAATTCTCCCTGATTGCCTGGAAGGCATCATTATTTTAATAAAAAAACTCATCAGCCAGCCTACCCAGCGCTCAGCGTGTTAATTACAGAGGCTAGTGCCCCGCCTCCCTCTCTCAGCCCCAGCTTGACTCTTCTCCCCACAGCCTTTGATCCCAGGGAGTCGGGGCAGGTGGATGGTGCCGTCCAGTGGGGAGGAGTCCCAGCCCTGACCCCTCTCAGGTGCCCAGACCACCTCCCCACCCCACACAGCACAATCCTGGCACTGTCCTTTCCCTTCAACCACAAGGACTCACTGGGCCATGGGCACAGACCAACACCAGTCAAGCCCAAAATTCTATGTGGCCCCTAAAAGCAAGGGGACAAGGACAATGGGACCCCAAGAACAGCAGATTTCATGAAAAGGACCCAAGAAGCCAAGGCATGTCCAGCACAGCACGCAGACTGGGTCAGGCCTGTCTCCAGCTACATGGACAGGCGTGTCCAAACACATGCCACAACCCTGCAAAAAGCACAAAAGGAGGCACCACACACATTCGTCCTCATTGTGAATGCCTGCAGTGCGTCTGTCATCATGGCTGGGGGAACAGGCCCAGGCTTTTTTATGGTAAAAGAAGTGAATTGAAAGAGGAATTGTGTTTCCTCTCCGTAAAGATGATAGCACACCAGGATGTCCCCACCTAGGGGAGACCAATGACAGCCTTCCCATTATCTCCTGGGCCTTCTGGGGGCAGGACCTGCAGCCGCTGATTCTGCCCAGGCATCAGTGAATCCTCTTGAACATAAATGTATCTTGGGTCACCTTGCAGCCAGCAATGACCACACAGCACAGTTCTGGGCCACTGATGTAAGGAGCGGCCCTGGGTGGGTGCCCCAGGAAGTACTATAGAAGAATAAGACTCAGCCATCAGTCTTGCTTCCCTCTTTCACTCTCTTCTGTCCTTGGTCCTGACCCTTCTTCCTGCCTGGAACACGGATGTGATGCTGGAGGTGAAGCAGCCATCTTGCAACCATGAGGCTAAAAGCAGAAGGACAAAAGCTACCTTGCAGATGAATGAACAGAAAGACAGAAAGAGCCTGAGTCCCTGCTGGCACCATGGACCCCACACCAAATTTGGGTGCCTGCTGAACTCCAGACTTCTTGATACATAGAAATTGAAAACTCATTTGCCAAACCATGTTAACTTGGGTTTTATGTAGTGCAAAGTTGAATGTATTCCTAAGCAATGTACCCAAGAATAATTGTTACTAACAACAAAACCGAAGAAAGCCCCTTGTAGTGAGTGGAAGTGAATTCGTGTAACCGTGCAGCTCCCCAGCTCCTGGATCCTGTATCCCGCCTGCCCTGCAAAGTCAGGCATAGTGGTTGGACTTGGTTTGGCTGCTGGAATGGGAAAAGTTCCGTGTCACCTCCGGGAAGCCGCATTCAGCGGGCAGTGCTCAGCTCTCCACCTACTTCTATGTTCCTGTTTCAGAAAACCTGGGACAGGTGACACATGTTGATGGAGAAGTCAACGCTCAGCCCTCCCCAGGAGGGCAGGTGCCCTGGAGGCCTTAGAGGTGGTGTGGGGCCGGCAGTGTGGAGTTGCTGCAGCTGGGAGATGGCTTGTTACTGCCACACGGTGCAGCCGAGCTCAACGTGTCACAGAAAATAGCGGGGGAAAGGTTTAAATGGATCTTTATCTTGAAAAGTAAAACCTCAAAAATAGTCTGATATTGCACTGGATAGAGATTTGAGTTTTCACTGCCACCCTGCGCTGGTTGTTAGAATGCAAGGAGAATGCATTGTTTGAGTTTGTTATCTGTTCTCCCAGGAAAATGATTGGCCACGCTGCACGGGCGGCTGCATGTGAACCCCCCACGACAGTCACAGGCCCCTCGACACGGTGCTCAGACCATCTCCCTGGAAGCATCCTTCCCTCCACCACCCTTAGCAATCAGCTCGCCTTTGATTTTCACCTGGAATGACTCAGCGGGCACTGATCCGTCAGTGGCTTTGCAGGCACCTGCGCTGTCCCACCCATCATTCTCAGCTCCCGAAACCGCATCAGTCACAGGCAACTTAACTGCAGTCCCCGGTGACCGGCCACTATTGGGAGACTGACCAATAAGGACTGGAAGGGAATCAATGTTGGGGCAAGTTTGGATGAGGGGGTTGAGCAGGCTGCCTCCCTCCAGACATCCCCCAGGGGACCCCCTTTTCCTCTCACTGTTTGTGCTCCCAGCCTGCCTCTCTCTGGGCCTCCTCCCTTCCTTTTTCACCTGGACGCACCTCCTGGCCCTACAGAAAGAATGGAGGTCGGCACCCCATCTCCCAGGCCAAGGAGGGCAGCTCCCTGCAGCGATGTCGGGGTATGGAGGGCAGGGGCCGGGAGCAGGGGGCTTCACTCCAGGCTACAGCCAGTTCCCCCAAGTCGGGGTCAAAATTACAGCCTATCCCACGGCCCACCCATCCTCTGCCCTCCCTTATCCAGTCAAGGTCCCTATCCAGTCCAGGTGTGCAGGTGAGGGATTCCGAGCTGGGAAGGGCAGGCAGACAGTTCCTGCAGGCTCCCGCTCACATCCAGGGCTTTTTAGGGACCCTGCCCCAAAAGAGGTCCTTGAAGCCACTTGGAGAATGCCCAGCTGTGGATGTGTCCAGACAGCAGCCAAGGACGCTCAGGCCAGCGGGAGCCGCTGAGATCAGCCAGGCCCAGCCTAGCCCAGTGGACGGCTCCTGCTGCACCCTCCCTCCTGGGCTGGGCCTGCCAACTCTCACAACTCCCACTCCAGCCACGGCCAGACCTGAGATCCTCTCCTCCCTGAGGCTAAAACATCTACCACATTCGGCTGGTGGCTGCCCCAGCTCTGCCTCAGGTCCCTGACAGGCCGGCCCCCTGCTGCTGGCAGCCAGGCACTGGAGTGACACATCTGTCTGTGCCCACACCTCCTCCTGGGGTCTCAAGTCTTCCAGAAGGGGTCGCGAGTCTTCCAGGAGGTCCGCCCCAACCTGTGATGCTCCTGTTGTGGGCGGGGGAGCAGCTATGACGGTGGGGAGAATTGCCAGTGCAGGAAGGACCCACGGGTGCTGCTGTGAGGGTGGTTTTGGGGTGCCGCTGTGAGGGTGGTTTTGGGGTGCCGCTGTGAGGGTGGTTTTGGGATGCTGCTGTGAGGGTGGTTTTGGGGTGCCAAGTGACGGTGGTTTTGGGGTGCTGTTGTGAGGGTGGCTTTGCTTCCACCTGAATGCAGAGCTCGCCTCCTTCGGCTCTCCCTCCCCCCGGGTGAGCAGCCCAATCCCGGGGACCTGTGCTAGCCCCTGTCTCGTGGCCTGTTACTGCTGAGGACAGACCTGACGGCAGTCCCGGTAGGTCAGATCCCGGGGGCACCCGCGAGACCTGGGGCAGGAGGTGGGCAGGTGCCAACCTCGGGCACAACTCCAGTGCGCAGCGTCCATGCCCGGGTGGCTGCCGTGTTGTCCTGCTGTGGCTCAGCCTGTCCCCTTCGCAGGGAATTGGCTGTGGGAGATCTACTTTGCAATAAACCCGTCCATAAAAGTGAAATGTCGATTGAAGGCTCTGTCTCGTGGGGAATCGGTTTTGATGTCCCTGTGCATCTTGCAGAAGCAGATGCTGGGCCTCAGCAGCATCACAGGGAGCTGCGCCTGGCCAGGGAAAGTCTGGAACTGCCCAAAGAACTTCTGCTCACCAGACCTGGGCCCCAAGCAGCAGCCCTGGGTAACCTCCCTCTGGGAACCAGCGGGACAGAACCAGGGGGAAGGCTGGGGACGGGGAGGACAAGGGAGTGAAGGGGGCTGGAAGGACAGAGAGGGAAAGGAAACTTCTCACCCACCTCCACTCACCAGACGCCCTCCACTCATCTCTGCCAAACCTGGGCGATCTCACCTATGACATCTTGCAATGAGACAGGCGGCATCACCTATTTTATAGGAGCACCAGGTTAAGCCACTGGCCGAAGTACCCGGTAGGAGACAGGCTGTGTGCAGAGGCCAGGCGTGCGTCAGGCTAACTTCAGGAGCCTGGACTCAGGGTGGTGGGTAGGGCCAGACCACGGGAGGCACCTGGCACAAAACCCAAGGAAGCCCTCTCAGGGGGTGCCAGCCCCTCCCCGCACCCCACAGGGCCCAAGATCGTGTGCCTCCTCCTCTTGGCATCCTCCACGGATGATGCACCGGGCCTGGTGGAGAAGGCGTCTCTCTGCGGAAGCCACATCAGCAAAGGAACCAAGAAGGAAGGGGACCAAAATAACCAGCTGGCCACTGCCGGGGCAGGGACGCCCACAGCTGCTGACAGCCAGAAAAGAGAGACCAGCAGAAGGGGCACACGGCCGGGTGGGGGTCAGAGCAGCACCCCCGTGGGTCCCACCTCTAGCTACATCAACCAACGCCAGGCCAGGCAGGGGACTGAGGACAGTGGGCGTGGTGCCACCGCCACAGACCCTGGGCACACTCTGGGACAAACAGCCAGCCTCTGCAAAACACAAACTGCACAGGGGAAAAGACCGGCAGAGGCGCAACCCTGTAGAAACAGACACAGGACACCGGGGAGATGTGAACGGTAGCTAAGTATGCAATGATGTGAAGACGTTGTTTTTCATTGTTAGGTATAACCACACTGTGGCTACTTTTCAAGGCGGCCTTATTGTTTAGCGATATTTACAGATACATGAATCCAACCCTGGGGATTTGCTCCAAACCCCCCAGGTGTGGACATGCAGATGCTGGAGAGGAGAGAGGAGACTGCGGGTCGGCACTGGGAGGCTGGCGGAGGGAAACGGAGTCCACAGCACTGTCCCCTCCCCGTGGTGTGCTTGGAATTCTCCACAACCACCTTTTGAGGAAGGAGCTCACATAGAGACCCGCAGAGGGGCCTGGCCACTCTGGGGTGTCAGGGGCAACAGGGCCCCACTGCCCAACCCATCCACTCTGGGAAGGGGCCCTTCCTCTGTGCAGCCCCTCCAGTCCTCAGCCTGGGACCCCCCCCCCACCATTGTGAGCCAAACACTCCCTGAGGCACAAGGATCCAGGCCTCTCGAGTGGAGGGCGGGAGCCGAGCAGGGAAAGCCAAGGCCGCCTGGGGTGAGGAGACAGGAGGGCAGGAGGGGGCTGGAGCTGACTGGAGGTCCCAAGTTCAGAGGTGGGGCACCCCATGGCCGCTGTCTGTCCACAGCTCTGTGGCACCTGTGGATTTGGCCAACACCCCCTCCGCAGTGAGGGGGGACCCCCAAGAGGAGGGGCCACCTCTGTCCTGCTGTTCCCTAAGCCCCAGCACTCACACACATCCCTGAATCCCTCGCTGTGCCACCATCAGCCTTGCAGCCACCATCGGGCGGCGTCCTGCCTTCCTCCCTCTGAAAGGCCTACTTTGGGAGGTCAGCCCGACTCAGAGGCGAGGCTGCAGAGCTGGACCTTCGGGAACCTTCACAACCCAGCCACAACGGCCCCCAGCACCCGCAGCCTGCCGAAGGCATGCTTCTATCCTCAGCCTCGCTGCCCTCCTGCAGGCCGGGGCCTCCCTCCTGCAATGCTGGCTGTGGGTGGCTGCCAGCGAACGTCCAGCTGTCACCCCAGCCCCCGCGGCATCTCCTGTCCCCACACAACAAGCCAGGCAGGGCTCGGGCTGGGAGGAAGGGGCCCTGGGCTCCCCTTCGTCTGCCTGGACTGTGAGGGCCTGGGGCAGTGTGCCAGCTTCATCGAATGATGTCAGAGAAGCTCATTCCGCTGGAGCTCGGAGCCTCAACGGCCACCCAGGAAGCCCTCAGAGTGGCTGCGGCCCCTTTCAAGGGGAGAGAAGGGCAGGAGCCATGCTAGGCCTCGGAGGGGTGGGGGTATGCCTACCTTGGAAGGCAAAGACCCCCGGACTCTGCTCCCCGCCCTCCCCTCAGCACCGCTGTGACTCCTCTGTGCAGGGGGCAAACTGCACCTCAGAAGAGTCCCATGGCCCATGGTCATGGCAGCTGGACTCAAGCCTGAGTCTGCATGGGGTGACACCAGGAGCAGCAGAGCCAGGACTTCTGGTGGCCCTGAGCTCCTCTGCACCAGACCCCTGAGCCCATCCCAGGCCCAGGGAGCCCAGGCTGGGAGGGGGAGGCAGGCTGCCACTGAGCCATGGAGACCAGTTTCCCCCAGCTGCCCAGGGCACGGGGCAGCCCCAGCATCGCTTTGCCATGTTCCTAACCCACACCGCCAGGCCCCGTGCTCCAGAGTGAGCCTGTCTCCGATCCAATACGCTCTCCTTCCTGGCTAATCCAGTTGGAGACTTTTCAACCTCACTATAATTTACAAGGCAGCTGGAGCACAGGATATTTTTAATAAAAATTAGGTACAAGCAGATACAGGGGATTAATAGTTGTATTATGATTTTATAGTTCTCCATATACAGCGGCACGGAAAAGACAATCAGAGAGCAGGGCCATTTCAGGCAGATAAAATGGGGCATTTATTTTTAATGGAAAGATAATTTCAGGATGCATCCAGCCATGGAGAAAGCTGCTGAGGCACTGCGCTGGGCAGAACAAAGAGGAGGCTGGAGGCTCGGCGGCCTCACTGAAAAGCCCTGTGGAGAGATTCTGGGCTTGCGGGACCAGGGGCAGGCTCCCCACCTAGTGGGTCTCCAGGTGGGGATCAGCAGTCCAAAATCAGAGCCATGTGAGCCCTGCCAGAAAGAAGGACCCAGGAGGGGTCCAGCCCCTCACCTGCCTGCTGTGCAGCTGTGGGCGAGTCTCTCTGAGCCTCAGTTTCCCTACCTGTACAGCAAGGACTGGATGAGCTCCTAGAAAAGCGGCTGCTCTGCAGAGCTGGGGAGGGGGTTGTGGAGATGGCCATCCACAGTCATCTCTGCTCCTTTCCCAGGAGCAAACACCCAACTGAGCATCTGCCATCTGCCCTGGGGTCACAGCTTCCCTTCCCTCAAGTTCAATCTCAGTGGCTTGAGGCCACCAGCGCTGTCCCTGGGGACACAGCTCTTCTTCCCCCATCTCCCATCCCCACCCCACCCCAGTCATATCCAGCAGGGGCTGAGCCTCTCCAGGAGCTACGAGGCTGGCTTTGAAGCCCAGAGCTTGAAAAAGGCACTATAGATGGAAAAGAAGCTGTCGGGGCTGCCATCTTCAAAGCCAGAGGCTGTGGCAGCTGAAGCCCCTGCTTGGGCTTTGCTGGAGCCCCGGCTTGGGCTTTGCTGGAGCACATCGTTCTGAAGACATGCCCAGCCCTGCCCCTCACCCCAGGCTCCCAGCCTCCTGCATGAAGCTCTGCACCCCTGGAGGGACGAGGGACTAGGGGGCCACTCAGGAGCAGGTGGGGCACTCAGGGATAGACAAGAGGGCTGCGGTGACACTGTGCCTGGGCTGGTCCCCCGGGGTCCAGGGCTCTCCTCTGGCCCAGAGGGACACCCGAGCTCCCTGTGCAGCCTTGTCCAACCTGGAGCTCAGAGGAAGTGGCCATCATGGCCCTCAAATCCTGTCCCAGTGGACACTGGCAATGGGCTGGCCCGGCCAGACAGGCTCACGTGGGCCAGAGGGTCACCCCCTCTTCCTGCAGCCCAAGGAGAGGAGCCCAAAAGGAGATCCCCTCAGGGACTTCCAGCCCACACAGACTGAGGATGCCCAAACCAAATTATGGCCAAAGGCCCCGGGGAGCTGAGAGAAGACAGGGAGTCAGGGAAGGCAGCGTCTGCAGGAGCCCCCAGGCCCCCTCACCCACCCAGGGAGTGACGCCCTGAGCCCCCACAGCCAGCCCCCAGCCAGGCCCCCAAGCCCTGCAGGAAATGGTCACTGTGTCCACTCCCGGCTGGCCACCCCTCCCCAGTAAGAGTCTCTAACCTGACCCTTCCCTAGTTGCCCCAGAACCTTCCAGAATCAAAGGAAACCACAGACTTCTCTGCCATGTCTTCTAGTTCCCAGGGAGCAGGAGACCCTCCTCCGCACAGCCCATCTGAGGGCAAGGCTGGAGAGGCTTCTGCTCCCCTGTCTAGATCCCCCTCTGGAGCCAGCAGCAGATGCCTGACAGAGAGAAGCAGTTCCAGTGCTGAGAGGCCTGGCAAAGTCCCTCAGGTGCTCAGGCTCTGACGGGCCACGGCTCGTGGAGAGAGCAGTGTGCCAGATCACCCCTACTCTTCTTCCAGGGACCACCTCCCCACCATTCCAGGACACACCAACAGACCCTGTGTGTCGGGCTCAGGAGCTGCCCAAGGGTCTGATGTCCCAGGCTTGTGAGGAGTGGGCCACCAAGAGGATGGGCATGCTTGGCTGGGGACCCCCAGCCAATCCAGGTGGGATTCACTTAACTCTCTGTGCTTGACACCCAGAAGTCACCAAATGAAGGGACCCACAAAATCACTCATGGTGAACACGGCTCCATAGGGATATAGGCTCAAATCACAAGGGCCCATCTCAGCTGGGAAGGTAGACCCAGGCTCGGCTGGGAGGTGAACTCAGACTTGACTGGGAGGTAGACCCAGGCTCAACAGGGAAATGAACTCAGACTCGGTTGGGATGATGGCCACAGGCTCAGCTCGGAAGTGGACTCAAGCTCAGCTGAGGTGATGGTCCTAGGTTCAGCTGGGAGGTGGACTCAGGCTCAGCTGGGATGATGGACTCAGGCTCAGCTGGGAGGTGGACTCAGGCTCAGCTGGAAGGTGGGCCCAGACTCAGCCAGGAAGTGAACTCAGGCTCAGATGGAAAGTGGCCCCAGGCTCAGCTGGGAGGTGGACCCAGACTTAGCTGGGAGGTGGAATCAGGCTCAGCTAGGAGGAGGAACCAGGCTCAGCTGGGAGGTGAACTTAGGCTCAGCTGGAAGGTGAACTCAGGCTCAGCTGGAAGGTGGCCCCAGGCTCAGCTGTGAGGTAGAGTCAGGCTCAGCTGGGGTGATGGACCCAGGCTCAGCTGGGAGGTGGACTCAGGTTTGGCTAGGGAGGTAAACTGAGGCTCAGTACAGGTTGAAGCACCATCACCAGGGCAGCCGTGACAGGTGATGACGTTGGACTGCTTTTGTATGAAAGAGGCAGCGCTTAGTTCTCACTAGAAGAGACGCTTAATCTGAATATGGACTGGTCTTTCCTGGCCACAAGGCTTCTGCAAATATGACCATCTTTCCCCATCAGCCTGGCCTTCCGCACAACATTGCTGTTAGCCAAGGGTCTCCCTTCGAGCTGCAATGGACTCAACCTCACAGAATCCACTGGTCTGACGTCCCCACTGTCTGGCAGCTGCCAGCCTGAGAGGCTGGCAGACTGGCCTTCGGAGACTCAGGGATGGCGCCAGCTGGGTGGCGATGCCCTGTGGGGCCTGCCAGGGCCCTGAAGGATACAGTGCAGGCTCCCAGTCAGTGACCCACAGCTGGGATTCACGGTCTGGGGATCTGGGGCTGGAAATTGGGGCTTTTCATGTGGTCACCTCTGTGATAGTTACAACTCACCCTTTGACTCTCACAGCCTGGTCCTTGAACTGCAGATGTGTCAGCCAATCTCAGAGCCAAGCCCAGCAGCTCCAGGCCAGATGGCCTCACCCACCTCCAGCCCAAGAGCATCCTCTTAGGAGGGGGGTTAAACTGAGCCTCCAGAGACCACCTTCCCGTGGCACCTGCTCGTAAACTAACTCATCCGGGAGGTGGGGGACCACTGGGTTCCACATATGGAAACAAGGGTGGTGGGAGAGGCGGGGTGCACAGGGCCGAGCTCCTCAGCAGGGTCCCCATGGATGGGACAATCAACAAATGCAGAGCACACCTAGGAGCCTGCAAGGCCGCCCTGCTGCCCGCGGCCCCTGCAGAACCAAGAGGCTTCCACTTTCTAAATCACACAAATTAATTTAGAAATCAGAGCGGCTCCCACAGCTAGACTGCAGGTTTCAAAATAGCTTAACAAATTACCAAATCCCCTTTAAGAAGACAAATTATTCCAGCTCCTCCACCAGCACCTGGTTAATGATGCATGCACTTTTGTTAGGCGTTAAATATTCACTAGCTGTGGGTTTGCACTTGTGACCCGTTGCCTCATTTCTATGTGGGCTGGCTGTTGTGCCCCATGCTGTCCCAGCACCCGGGGATGCTGGCCTTGGGACCACCGTGCAAGGTGACGGCCCAGCGGTTCCACCTTCCCTGACCATGGCCATGGCTCACCTCTGCCTGCCCAGGGCTGCCCTTGGTGCAGGCAGAGCCCACATCCCCTCACCAGCCTTCCAGGCCGTGCCATAGCCTTGGCATGTGAGGCCTCCTTGCCACCCGGCCTCCCTCCATCCCCATCTCCAGGCACACTCACCCACTGGCATCTCCCCGGGGCTGCTGTGGCCTTTGTCCCTCTTCCTGGTCTGATGCACACCCAGGGACAGACATGGGGTTTTCCTGACCCGAGTTTCAGGCCTCCAGTTCCTGACCAGCTTCTCCACACTGGCCCCACAGGCAGAGTGTGCCTCGCCCGCAGAGACGAGGTTATGTTCCCCGACCATGGGCGTTCAGGGGGTGGGAGACCAGGAGGGCACTCAGGCATCCAGCACTGCCATCCTTCTTGAGGCAGGTCCCCAGGCTGCCAGAGTTGTGGCCCAGACTCCCTGGACAGCAGAGACACCTGGTCAGGACTCAACCCCAGGGCCAACTAGAGGGAGCTGAGCCCTGGGAGGACCTGCAACCCTAGTGGGGCCACCAGAGAAGTCCCTCCCTCCTCTTCCCCAAGACTTGACAGCCGGGCTGTGCCCTGAACCCGCCCCTACTCCCCCTAGGCTGCCTGGGCGCCCCGCATTCACTGTTTCCACTCTTGACAGATGGGGAAGGGGGAGCCAGGCAGGAAGGAATGCCCCACCCAGGGGCCCCCCAGCAACAGTGCCACCCAGCCCAGGACCCCGGCTTCACACAGACAGGCTCCCCAGCTGCAGGGGCTTTCCTCGCCCTCCCTCTCCTCACACTGGGGCTCTTCTGATTTGAGATCAACTTCCAAATGTCTTTCTTGAATGTTCTGCCTAATTAACTTCACATTAAGAGGACTGAAAAGGACATGGCAGCCGTGCCAATCCACAGCCTGCCCCACCGCGACGGGGAGAAGCACATCTCACTCAGCCTCCGACGCCTGCCACTTCATGCGTGCAGGCCTGGCTCCTCCTCGTCCAGGACAGTCAGCCCTGCTCCCCGGTGCACACACACACGCACACACACACTCACACAAATGCACGCACATCCATGCATGCATACATGTATGCGTATGTCCACACCCACATACATGGACACAGATATATACATGCCACACACGCACACACCCATATACACGCACATGCGTGCATTGCACACAGGCACAAGCTTGCATGCTCACACATGCACACAGCCAGGAGCAAGCTCCTGAAGCCACTGAGTGGTGCCACCTTGTGCTTTGTCCTTGGGGACCAGCTGAGGAGCCACTGGCCAACAGGGACCACTCTTAGTGCCCCTTTTTCAGGCACAGAGGAGCTGAGGCCAAGAAAGGGAAGGGGCCTGGTTCAGAGTCCCCCAGTGGCCACTGGCTGGGAAGCTCTGCAAGCTTGGGTGCCTGGCAGTGCCTTCCCCAGCCGCCCTCACCCCCCTGCCCCAGCCTTGTGACTCCCCTTGGCCCCACCAGTGACTGTGTCCACTTCCTCCTGAGCCCACAGCCCTTGACACCTGTCCTTGCCATAGCTGGGCCCAGCCACGCTCTTCAGCAGGCAATGTGGCCCCCTCCACAGGGTCTGAGCTGGGCACCAGCGTTCAGTAGTTAGGAGGTTCCATATCTGTGTCCCCTGTCCAGCCTGGCTGGCAAAGTGGGGACTCAGCCTCTCTGTAGTCTCCACCTGCTTCCCTCCACCAGGCAGGTCTCCCCCTCACCTCCCACCCTCCTCCATCATCAGCTTCCCATCCCAGCCCCCAGAGGCCAGCAGGCTGGGGTGCCCTCCCCAGCCAGGTGGGGATGGGTGAGGGCTGGACTCCTTCCTCCCTGCCCCAGCTGCCTGCCCCACCATGTCTGGCCAGCATCCGCTTACAGAGCAAGAGATGTTCAGCTCAGCTTCCTGGGCCACCCAGCCTGCTGTCACCCTCCTCATCCCAGGAGAAATGGGACCCCGTTCCCTGCCTCGGGCCCCACCAGACACCTGGACTCCAGCGCACCCACCGGGACCCGCCCCTCAGCTCTTGTGAGCCTCACATGCCCAGGCCGAGCCACCGCCCTTCCCCTCGACAGCCCACAGGGCCCGAGGCTCCACAGAACCCCCCCAGCGTCCTCTGTAAGGATCCAGCAGAGACACAGGCAGCTGCCCTGAGCAGCACGGAGGCTGGGGCAGGCGCCAGGTTCATGCTTTCACGCTCACTTTGGAAACTGTTGGTTCAGCAGTCTGGCCGACTACCTGCTCTGCGCACCGGTGACCTTAAAACCGTCCATGCTTATAAATCACCTGGGATTTACATACGGACTGGTGGCAGGTAATCTTTCAGAACTCCCCCCCACTCACACGCAGTCAGTGTGGTTACGCAGGATCAGGATCCTGGGTGGAGTGGAAGAGAGAATGAACTGACACGGGGCTGGGAGCCTGACAGGCAGCATCATCAGGGAAGTTTACGGAGTGGGAGGCAGGGCTGCCTGTGCGTCCAGCTCCAGCTCAGCTCCAGCTCAGCTCCAGCTCAGCCAGGCACCCAGGCTCAGGTTGGAGGGGCCGCAGAGGCTGCTCCTCCTGCCCCGCTGATGTCCTCACCTCTGCTCAGCCCCTGCGTTGATGACCACCCCGTGGCTGGGACCCCACCCAGCCTGCAGCCCTCCAACAAAGAGCCTCCAGGGCCTGCCCAGCGATGGGGAGTTCCTCCCTCTGGGGTTTGCTGGTTAAGAGCAAGTCTTGCTCCATGGAAAAGAAGTTCTAACGGCGGAATCCACACCAAGAGAAACGGCCACGAACAGCCTCTGCCCCACACGTCGCGTGGGCCCCAGAACCACAACGAGGAGGATCAAAAAAAGGAGTCAAATACTTCCTGGAGACATTTTCCAAGACCACTCCCACCCCATAGCAGAAGGAGGTATGCCAGCCCGCCATGTGTCCCCTCCACTTTGATGCTCCTTCAGCCATCACGGACTCTCAGAGCCCTGCCTGGGTCAGACTGTGCGGGCGGCAGTCAGGACTCTGTGTGAGCAGGAATCAAGGCCCAGGGTGGGCCAGGATCAGAGCTGAGTGAGCTAGAATCCGGGTCCAGGGTGGGCTGGGATCAGAGCTCAGAGTGAGCTAGAATCCAGGTCCAGGGTGGGCTGGGATCAGAGCTCAGGATGGGCTAGAATCAGGGTCCAGGGTGGACTGGGATCAGAGCTCAGAGTGGGCTAGAATCCGGGTCCAGGGTGGGCTGAGATCAAGACTCAGGGTGGGCTGGAATCAGGGCTCCATGTGTCTGGAATCAGGACTCAGTGTGAGCTAATGTTAGGCCTCTGTGTGAGGTGGATCAGGGCTCCATGTGGGCTAGGATCCGGGCTCAGTTTGGGGCTGAGTCAAAATGCTCTGGCATGGCCTCACAGAGGTGGCTGGACTTGCTCATGGTCACACAGCAGGCGACAGGTGCTGGTGGAGCTCCTGGGTCCATGCGGCTCAGGCCCCATTGCTCTTCCCCACCTGCAGAAGAAGCCACCCACCCCCCTTGCAGCCCATGTCTGGGCTCTGAGTCCCTCAGAGCTCTACGGACACAGCTGTCTGGCCAATGAAAGGGGTGGCCAGGGTCCCCTGGGATCTGCACAGCACATGGGGTCCAAGCACATGGAAGGATGCTGGGCAGACACCCTGAGGCTCAGACCCACATGCCCCAGCAAGGACGGCTTGGAAACTACCTCACCACTCCCTGGCAGCCAGAGGGAGAGGGTCTCCCTGATGAGCCCAGGCTGCTCCCTGAGGGAGGGAGGGAGGGAGGGAGGGAGGGAGGGAGGGAAGGAGGAAGGGAGGGAGGGAGAGCAAAGGCCGCCTCTGGGCATGTTGTCCCAGCCAGGAGCAGGTGGCTGCACAGAGCAAGGGCCTGTAGGGTGAGCCTTGGGGCTGCCTTCCAAGGAAAGAGTCATCACAGACCCCTCCTCCTGTGCTGCGGGGGAACTGAGGCCCCTGGTCCCTCAGCCCAGCGCAGGCTGCCATCACTATCCCCGAACTCGAGAGCAGGGGCAGAGGACCCTCAGCCATCTTCCTGTCCCATAGAAGAACTCCCAGTGGGAAACCCCACCCCCAGCAGAGGAAACAGCCCTCAGGACACCAACACCCCCACGGCTGCCAGATGCTCTGGGGAGGCCGCACCAACTCACACGGCCTAACAGCCCTGCCGAGGGATCCCAGGTGTTTGGGGACGGACTGCACACCCACCCTGATCCAGGGCTGTGACTGTGAAGAGGAGCTCCGGCCCTTCCCCAGAACACAGCCTGCCTCCTGGCACAACAAAGAAAGCCGGGTGTGGGCATGGCCCACTGCACAACCCCACCCCCAAAGCCAGGGCTGAGCCGGCCAGCCCACAAGCCCTCAAGGGGCACAGGCGTGTGCTGCCTCCCTGAGCACCGAGCACCAGGGCCAATGGCCAGGCCCCCGAGGCTAGGAGCCCCTCCCCAGAACTGTCTGCAGCCCTCTTGCCTGTGGGGACCCCTGACCCATGTGAGGCTGTGTGTGGGGGAGGAGGGGGCCCTGGTGCCCCCAGAGTGGAGTCAGCCCATGCATGAGGATGCCACTGGGGAGCCACGTGGCCCCACTGGGCTGGGATTCCCCCGGGTGTCCCGAGGCCACCGCACACTGCAGGGCCCATGAGTTTGCAGTTTGTCCCAGTAAAAAAGCTGCCCTGAGCCCAGACACCCACGTGGGTCCTTCCTGCCCGAGATTCCGGCCTTGTTGCTCCTGCCCTTAGGAAATGCGTTGCTGTCTCTGGGTTCCTCTGGGTAGCGAGGCTTCTGGGCCTGAGGGAAGTGTGGGACAGCCCTACAGCACAGGCCCCCAGTCCCGCCAATCCCCACCCCCGGGGTCAGGCCCTGCCTCCTGCATCCCTCTTCACTGGCCAGTCCTCCATTGCCACCTGGTGGCCATTGCCCCACGACAGCCGGGACCGCCAACCTGCCCGACCCGAGCTCCTCCAGGCACCGGTGCCTCCTGGGTGGACACTGGGCAGCTGTCCTGGGCCTGAACTCGCCAGACTTTGGCAGAAGGCAGGGTTCAGGGGTCCCCAGCCCCCATCCTAGATGGGGAGGCGCCCCGGTCCGGGCATTGCTGGAACAGCGCCCTTGATCTTGAAAAGGAGCTTCAGTCATCAAAGGGGCTCCATCCCTGGAGGGCAAATGGCAATAAAAAGACACAAACAGGCGGCGTTAGAGTGGCCCGGGGGAGGCGCTTCCTGATTGCGAATCCAATTCTCATTCCTGAAGGTCTTTAAAACCCTTCCTGAGCCATGTGATTGTCTCAAAAGAGCTGTTATTACTCTTATAAAAAAAAACTTATAAAAAAATTCTAATCAACATTGGTCTTAAACCGCAACGTCTCAGCACCCAGCACTGCCTCCGCAGCTTCGTGGGGCTGGCGGGAGGGACATTTACGAGCCATTTCACGCCCCGCGGCTGCCCATCAACCATGGGGCTTTTGTCACCCACCATAGCGATAGCAATGGTTTTGTAACTCAAAAGTTATTTATTAATATCGGTATCTTCCACGTGAGTGTCTCTGGCAGCCAGGGTGGCGCTGAAAGGTTGGGGGTCCTGTCGTGGGCATACATGGTGGTCCCCAGCCCGCCAGACCCGAGAAGCCTCCAAGACGTCACTGCTTTCCGCTGTCTCAACAATGCATGGCGCCTGTCTCACCAGCACCGTGGGAAGCCAGGCTGACCTGCCGGCAGGATGGGGCATCTGAGGTCCCAGGCAGCTGCTTTCAAGGCCACCATCCAGCCCTGCACAGGGCAGCAATGCCTTTGGCCAGGGCCACATCCAGGCATGCACAGAGCTGGAGCACACCGGCCCCGGGCCCGCAGCACCACCACCCTGTGGACCTTATCAGGTCAGCCTCTCAGGGGCGAGTCTCCCCACCTGGTGCTCCAGGATTAGCACCGTCTCAAAGTCAGGTTGGAGTCACTCTCGGCCACGCACCATGAGTGACCCGAGCACCCCTCATCTTCAGAGCCCAGAGGGAGCAGTCCACGGGCTCGGGGAGAGCCTTTGCGGACAGAGCACCCAGTGCCCCACAGCTCCTTAGTCATCATCTGGGGGAGTCAACTCCTCACGAGCTGGGGGCCTCCAGCGGGAGGCTGCCGAGCCAGCTCTGGGCCCCAGGGCTTCCAAGGAGCCTGTCCCCAGGAGGAGCGTGTGAGCTGCGGGAAGCAGGCAGTTTTGTCACCATGAGTGTGCAAGCTGTGGGGGGCCTGGCCCCTCCGTGCTCCTCCCCGGACCCATCTCCAAGGCAGCTTGCCTTTCCCCATTCCCTCCAGTTGCAGGTTCTGGCCAGTGTCCCCATGGAGGTCACACTGGCTGTTGGCTCCTGAACCACCTCCAGCTTTGGCCTAAGGGCAAGAGCCCAGCCCCGAGGACAAGGACAAGCGCCAGGGCCCTGGAGACAGAACCAGCAGGGCAGTCAGTGCTCAGCCCCTCGGGGCCCTCAGGCCTCCACTGCAGCAGCGGCTGCACCCTCTCCTTCCCCAGAGAGGGGCCAAGATGCGATTTGCTGTCCCCCCCACCGCACTGAGAAAGGGGGGGCCCAGGCAGGCACCCCCACCCCACCCAGACACATGTCCCAGCCCACGTGGGTTCCCTGGCTGGCTGGCTCACAACTTCAGAGCACCCCCACCCTCTGCTCTAGGCACCTCCGACCACCCACAGGGGTCTGTGCGAAAGTAACGGTGGGGCTCCAGCCAGCTCCTGCCCAGGGTCCTGTCCCTGCCACCGCCTGACCTTTCTGTTCAGCCTCCACCCGGCCCACCCTCAGGCTGGAGGGCACCATGAAGGGGAAGACAGATGGCAGATGCTCACCCCATGGGCAGAGCCATCTCAGCCTGAGGGCAGCATCCTTGCTGGGCAGAGCTCCCTCTCACAGCCACCCCAGCCTCCTGTCCTCCGCACACATTTGACTCCCTGATGGGGCTCTGCCCTGGCACACTCAGGCTCCCAGGCAGCAGAGCTGGGCAGGATGGATGAGACCAGAAGACAATGTGAAGTCCCTGCTCAACCCGGGGCTGCCGGGGACCGCAGGGTTAGTGCATACTCAATGGAGGCAAGCCTGAGGCTCTCTGGGAAGGAGAGAAGGGGATGCACTTAACACAGGCTCTTTCTAGGGGTGATTCCCGAGCTTCCCAGAGTGCCCCCTGGATGTCAGTTACACGCCCGAGTGGGCTGGAAGGACGGCCTTGCCGGGGTCCAGGGCTCCTGGCCACGCGGCCTTTTCAGTTTGCTGTCTCGGCTCTGCAGAGGCCACAGCTTATCTGTGACAGACAGACCCACCTCCCTGCCTTGGAGACTGCTCCCCAGGGCTTTCTTGCACCCCCATGCCATTTGACTGACCCTGTCAGGAGGGTCTCTGACTCACCACCGGTGTACAAGGTGTGAGCGAGCAGGTGCTCAGACAGTCACAGGTACGGGCTCTGCAGGTGAGCACTGACCAGGTGGCTCGGGGCTCTGGAGACTCTGAATGGAGAGAACCCCAACTTCTCTCCCTTTGAATTGTGTGAACGTGAGCTGAACTCGCTGACCACAGCAGAGAGAAAATTTGTCAAAAATGCCCACCTGTGAGACCCAGGTCTTGCCTCGGGCTTTGGAGAGGCCGGTTTGTGGTTTAAGGACAAGCCGGGGGCAGGGTTCCCCAGGAGTGACCAGTCACTGGAGGCTCGGGCGGCGCAAAAGTCAGAAAGGGCAGAGGACAATCTGGGGGTGACTCCTGGCCCGCCTGACTCGTGAGGGCCTTGGTTTCTCCTGTGCTTGTTGAGGTCTGTGTGGGGGATGGTAGGGAAGCCCCTCGGAAGCGGAGGACCCGGGGCTGGCAGAAGTAATGACAGAGGGAATAGATTGCACCTCACCAGCCTGCCCGCACCCGGCTTCCTTGCCTCCACCCACACTGCAAGATGGGGCCCACGGGAAGGCATTTGCGCATACAACCCCTCAGCACCGCAAACACTGCCACCCCGGTCCTGGGAGCCAGGGCTGCCCTGGCCTGGGGGTACAGATGGGCAGGGGCACACCTGAGACCCATCAAGCAAGACTTGCCAAAGAAGGAGGCTCAGGAGCGAGGTGGGGCAAAAGCTGGCACAGGAGGCCCAGGCCCGCAAGCACCTAAGGAGGCCCCTGGGGTAGGAAGGGCCGGAGGTGGGAGTGCGTATGGCACCCAGCCTAGGACGGGAGGAGCCACAGCCGGCTGTGCAGCAGGGAGGGGCCCTCCGGGGCCTGAGGTGGGAACCAGGAGAGGCCAGCACTTCTAGACAGCAGCTCAGTCGCTCGCTCCACCTCTCAGAGTTCCGTTTCCAATATTCTCCCCCCATTGTCTGGAATCCAAATATTCCCACTTTTAAAAGCAGCTTCCAGATAGTGGTGTGCAGGAGGCCGAGCAACACCGTCTTTGAGGAGGCAGCCGAGATGAAGATAAGACCAGAGAAATCCATCACGCCGGCTTTTAGAGCCACGCACCCTCTCTGGACCCTGCCGGGATTAAAATGCACAGTCCTCTGTTGTGGGGGCCCATGAGGCCGGCGCTCCTCAGCCACAGAAATGGAACTGTAACTCAGCCCAGAAGCAGGGAGATCGCCTCCCAGATAAACACCCAGCAGCTCTAGAGTGCTGGCGGCCCTGGGCATCCTCCCCACTCCCAGCCCCAGGGCAGCCTGGGGAGCAGGGGTTCTGGAGGACCCCGGCCCCCTACACGGGCCCCCCACTCCCTAACGCTTGCTTGGGTCCAGTGGGGGCGGGAGGCTAGACAATGAACTGAGGTGCCCCCTGAGGGGCACCTGCTGCAGCTCGGGGACCCCAGGGACAGGGCCAAATGGCCATGACATGTCTCAAAGGCCTTTGCCAAGCCTGGCATCCTCGTCCATAAAAGGACAGGGCACGCAGCCGGGCACGGTGGCTCACAGCTGTAATCCCAGCACTTTAGGAGGTCAAGACGGGCGGATCACCTGAGGTTGGGAGTTCAAGACCAGCCTGGCCAACATGGAGAAACCCCATCTCTACTAAAAAATACAAAATTAGCCGGGCGTGGTGGCGCATGCCTGTAATCCCAGCTACTCGGGAGGCTGAGGCAGGAGAATTGCTTGAACCCGGGAGGCGGAGGTTGCACTGAGCCGAGATCGTGCCATTGCACTCCAGCCTGGGCAACAAGAGCAAAACTCCGTCTCAAAAAAAAAAAAAAAAAAAAAAAGATGGAGTTTGCCAGGGGCAGGGCTGTTCCACCTTCACCACACCAAGGTGAGGACAGAACCCAGGCTGCGGCCAGGGCAGGAAGAACTGAGGTCGTTTGGGCCTTGTCTGGCCACCCTAAGGAGTCAGCCCCTCTGCCCAGGAGCTCAGCGATGCTGCCTGTGGCCACAGGGTCGCCTGCTCTACCTTCAGCCTCAGTTTCTCCCTTGTAAAGGGGACATACAGCTCCTTGGGAGCCATGAGCTTGGGCCACTACTTGTGAAGCGCAGAGGGAGCTGGAGCACAGAGGCCTCAGTCAGGCACGTGCTGCTGCCGTGGTCCACGTGGGAGGTCACGTGCATCCCCGCAGTGGTGCTGGGTGGGCCCTGCACCTTCAGGGCCTCCCTGGTGCACCCCGGGGTCTGTGAGGCCAGCTCGCTGCCTTTCCAGCTCATCCACCCCATTTCTCTGCTCCAGCCCTTCCCCAGGGCTCCTGCACTCAGCCCCTCCAACCCCAGCTTGGCGAGCTGCCCCTTCTGTCCTGCTCCCACTGCCACCCCCAGCACCAGCCCCTCCCAGCGCCCCTGAGCCCTATGGGACTCCTGCCCTGCCCCTAGCCACACCTCAGCCGCAGGCCCTGCCTGGACATCACTCACGGTTGGTTCTGGGGCCACGGCGCACTGGACACAGGGTTCAAGTGTGCTACATGAATAGTGACAGGATCTGTGCAGCAAAGGGGGGTCCCTGCGTCCCCAGAAAGCCCCTCCTGCCCTCAGCCTCCCCAATACCTTCAGCAGGAAGGTGTGTGCAGGGTCTCTGGAGGCTGCCACCCTCCCATCCACAGCAGCGGTCCTGCCTCGGGGCGGCCAGAGCCAGCACGGGGAAGCTGACGCGTCACAGGGCGGCTTCCAAACAGGATCATAGCGAGAACGCCGCATAAAAGCTCTAAATAAACCCCAAAAAGGAAAATGGGACTGTTTTACCACTGAATCAATTCACCTCTAATTTTAATGCTCTGAAAAGTATTTTCTCTTAATGACTCCATTATTTTATCATATGGTGAGCAATAAACTCCCTCCCCACATTTGCCAGACAGCCTCAGCCTCTCCGGTGTCTGCCAGGCAGGGAATCCTTTATAGGCGGCTCTGCACACACACAGCACTTGGCTTTCGTTTAGTGGTGATTTTATAGAAGATTCCCCCATTTCGTGTAATATAAAGCCTAGAACTTAATTAGCCTCCGTCAGCTCCTCGGGCTGCTATGGAGTGGGTGTGTTCATGCACCCGCAGACCACACACCATGACAAAGTCGCCGACCGTCTCAAGGCAGCATCCCTGTGGCTGGCATGGGCAGCATGCCCCAAACATGAAGCACTCAGGACCCCAGAGGGCTCCTGGCCTCCCACCTGGCAAGTGGGTGCAGGTTATTAATCCCCAGCTCCCTGATGGCTCTCCCACCGGGACACACACATCCCTCACAAGCAAACGTGATTCCCAGCAGGGAGCTGGCGGTCTCGGGAATGACCTCCATGTGGGCTCCTGGGGAAGCCCAGGCGACTGTGCAAACCCTGCTGGCGAGGGTGCCGCCCTCCACGGTTTTCCAGGCCCCAGGGTGGGCACATGTGCCGGCTCACGGTGGGTCTGCTCCAACTCCAGTGGGAAGAAGAGATGCCGAGGATGCAGCAGCACCATACGTGGGAATGGGGACAGCTGCGGGGGGCTGGGAGCACAAGTGAGGGACAGAGCCAGGGCAGGTGAGGCCAGACGACGGACATGGTGAGCAGGGTCGGACACAGTTCCTCCTACAAGAGCCTGCTTGTGCCCTTTGATCTCCAACATCTCTCCTGGGTGCTCCACATCGAGGCGCCCCCACGGCACATCTGACCCCTCCTCCAGTAAACCTAAATTAGTTCCTTATTGTGCAACCTGGACAACTGTACATGGCCAACATTCAGGGGTCCCAACAAACTGCCTTGTAAATTGGAGGCCAGAGCCTGGCTTCCCTGTGTGGTGCCAGGCAAGGCACTGCAGCTTACACATGACACACACACGGCACACATGCAGCACACACGCAGCACACACGCAGCACACACATGCCCCTGCTGCTCCCGCCTGACGCCGGCCACTTACTCACACGCCTTCTCCCCCAGACAGAAGAGCAAAGGAGGTGGGAGGGTAAGGGGGAGACTTGAGTAACCTCACAGTACCCTAGATGCTAGGAGAACAGGTACCCGTGGGCCAGGCGCGTGTGCACACCTGCCTGGGCATGACACAGCTATGGGGTGTGTACGCAGGGCTCACATGTGGGGCCCAGAAACCTCCCTGCGTACTCAGATACCTCGTTCAATATCTGTAGCATGAGGGGCACTCCTGCAGGGGTCTGGAGCAATTCTTGGCCTAAGTGGCTATTTGCAGACTCCCCTCTCCCCACAGGCCCGGAGGAGTCGCAGAGTGGCTTTGTAACAGTGCGTTCTCCCTGCGTTTACCCCAGTGGGTTCTACAGGCTGGGCCTTGTCAAAGTGACGGGCAGGCGCTGGGCACTGGTGACAAAGGCAGTGGCAGCACTTGGCCACACTCAGCCTCTGGGGGCCCCGGACGTGCATACATCGCGGTCCTCCCCTTATGAGCGAGGAGACACCATGGCTGCTTGCACCTCGCGTGCCGGGGAACTGGGAGAGTGGGGCTCACGTGTGCATCTGCCCACCTCTGCTGAAGCCTGGGGCCACACAAAGCCTCTTGGGGTCAGAGCTTGCTGGGGCCCCGTGGGGGACGTGAGACAGAGAGAGAAGGTGTGTGTGTGCACACGTGTGAGACTCGGTGTGCCTGGTTGTGCACGTGACTGCGTGCATATGAAACACAGACAGGCGTCGGTCCAGCGGAATTTCTGTGGCACACTTGAGCTGCGTGTAGCCCCCTGCTTCTGACTGTACAAAGACCTCACGCTCTCATCCGAGACCGGAAAGCTGTGGACGGGGTTGGTGGCTCCTCTCGGAGCTAAGCTCCACCTCCCACTCCTCAGTCTGACCCTGGCCTCCCTCCCCAGCCCTCCCCAGCCCTCCCTCTCTCGGTTTTTTTTTTTTTTTCCTTATCCCCACACTCCTCTCCTGCAGCCCTGGCTTCAGGCCCCTCCCCAGCAGAGGCTGCAGCAGCCCCGGTGCAGTGGTGGGATGGGCCTGGCCGGACTTTCCAGTGCCCACTGTCCTATGCCCCCTGCCTGGCACCCCAGCCTGGCCCCTCGTGCCCACCCAGTGCTGGGTAGAGAGGCCCCGTCGTGAGCCCATCACTGCTGCCGCCAGAGGCTACTCAGGCCCAGCTCCTCAGAGGGTTTTTCTCGGGCCCTCTTTTAGTGACCTTCTCTGAACTTCTTGTGGCTGGCTTCATCGTGGGATTGCAGAAAGACCCGAGAGCCCCAGGGAAGGTGGCATTAAATCGCAAGCAATGGCACTTCTGGCACATCCAATCGATTTTGTCGTTCGTAAGAAATGGAAACAGGATGTGGCAAGGAAAAGGCAGTTTCAGGAACAAGGCTTCTCCCCTCGGGCTCTGGAAAGGGCAGGGAAAGGCTCTGTTGGCCCATGCAGCGGCCCCTGGAGTCCAGGCCCAAGATCCCAACCCCCGGCCACAGGACACGGTCAGCAGGTCCCTGCCTGGCTGCCCCACCTCTGGGAGCCCTCCTGCCACCCCGGCTGGCCTCCTGCGGGCTCTGAGCAAGGTCAGGCCCTGGGAACGAGGGAGGGGCCGCTCCTGAGTCCCCGAAGCCCTGGGCTGAGTGGGCCCCACCAAGCCTCCTTGGCCCTGCCCAGCTTCCTCCACTCAGAGCTGCTGGTGCATGTGCCCCAGAACGGGGCAAGGGGGAGGCAGGCACTGCCCCGCAGAGGAGTCTCACCCATCCCTTCCCTCTGTGTCCCAAGACAGGGCCTTGGCTGCTGCCCAGGGTGTCTTGCAGCAGCCCCTCCCCCAGCCAGCCTGTCCCTCAATGCTCTCCAGCAGGCACAGGACCAGAGAGCCACAAGCTGTGTGCCCACCCTGCACACCCACCCACAGCCCTCCCCCCATACCTCCTGGTCCTCGAGCCTATGCTTCCCACAGGCTCCTACCTGGTCATCCAGGCCAGCTGCCATGGCCCAGGAGCCTGCATCCATCCTTCCCTCAGCCACAGTGACACCCAAGGCGGTGCTCACAGCTCATCCCTGCCCTCAGGGCCACCCGAGGGGTCACCAGTGCCACAGCCAGTCATGTTATGTTGCACTGACTTCCCCAGCCAAATGCCTGGGGACCGGGGCTAGAGTTTTTCCTCCATTGTCCATTAATCATGGCTACCATTGTTGCATGGGTTCCTGGAGGTCTGGACCACCTGCCATGTGACGTACTAAGCATGACGTCACGAATGTAGCTGATCAGCATCATTTTCCGCAGACCAGGAGTGTCCCAGAGCACTGGATTGCAAGAGTAGCAAGAAAGTGCCAGTGGCTGGAGCACTGCTGTCTCTCACAGGCAGCTGGGTGGGCCCCTCTCTACTGAGGTGGTTGAGAAGGACACACTTGCTAGACACACCGCACACACCCAGGGCCAGAGGATGTGGTGACTCGGTTCAGTCGAGGTATCGCATCCGGCGGCGCATTTTCCATGTGGGCTGACTCTGCGTTGGGTTGGGTTCATCCATCACCATCGGCCATGATGCTGCTGGTTTTTGTGGACCATATGGGTGAACAGAGTGGGAACAGTGGGGACAGTGGGACTGACCATCCCTGTATCTTTTGAGTCTTTGGGGATGGTCCTAATTTCTGCAGATGCTCAGGATGTGTGGAATGACTCTCTTGGCCAGGGTCTTAGAAGCTTCCACTTGTTCGTTTGGGTTTTTTTCCTGCCAAAATGGCTCATAATCATTAGGTCAAGGAACCAATGGGCAGGCTCTGCCAACTGCAGAGTACAGGCAGCCCCTTCCCTTAGGCACGAGAGGCTGAGGGTCCCAGGGTCACTGCAGGGCGGGCTTGCCTCCAGGTCTCCGGGAGCCCTTACTCTACCCACAGCGGGGTTCTGGGTCCCCTGATATCACTGCCAGCTCAGAGCCCGTACCCACAGCTCTCAAAAGATCAGGAGAGTCTCCTGCCCAGCACATAGTTTCTGTGGGCCCTGGACACTGACTTCTGCCCTTTCAGGCCAGCTGCTCCTGACACGGTGGAAAGATCAGGAGAAGCTGCCCTCCCCAGTGGGCCGGAGGGCTCCAGGCGGCAACAGGGAGGGCAGCACCAGTGACGGGCACACCTGGGCTGAGGGAACTTTGGGCACCCAGGCTCTGGGCCACTCAGCCACTGCCAGGTGGGCACCCGCGTGAACCAGAACTGTGTGCCTGCCCGGCCAGCCCAACCTTGCCGCTTTCACAAGGA
Organism: Homo sapiens; assembly: GCF_000001405.40. NCBI lineage: Eukaryota > Metazoa > Chordata > Mammalia > Primates > Hominidae > Homo > Homo sapiens. The sequence goes on from NT_187599.1 coordinate 131,693, forward strand.
GGCACACAGTAGCCCCTCAGAACCTGCCACGGCCCTGCAAGGAGAGGATTCCCCTGGGGCAGGAGGTAGTAGCTCTCGGCCAGGCACTGACTGCCCAAGGTGGCAGGCCCAGGACAGGGTGTGGGTGGGGCCCTCCCTCCCCCGGTTCTGGTGCCAAGCTCTTCCCAGTGTCCTGTGCCTGTGCCCCATGTCCCAGCAGCTGTGTGCAGGGGAGTCATGACCAAGGGCGGCACCCAGTCCCCTGGATCTGAGCCCACTCCGTAAGCTGCCGCCTCACAGCCCGGCAAGGAGCTTCCCCCTACAGAGCCCCTGTCCTTATCTGCCAATGAGGCCAGGCCTGGGGCTCAGGAGGCGGTGGGGAGGGAAGAGGAGCTAAGCCCTGTGAGGAGCTAAGCCGTTGCACACAAGTATGCATTCTGCCCATCTAGCGCTTGGAGAGCATGGTTAATGGAAAGACCCAACTCCGTAGAACACGGAGCTTTCTTCTGAGCCAATATGAGTGACCGCGGCCCAGGAAAAAGTGCACACACCCAGGGAGCCCTGAGTGGGGGGTCCTGAGGCAGCCAGACACCAGCTCTGCTTCCCACCCACCTTAGTGTGACGGAATTGCAGGCAGTCATAGTTCAAGGAGCTTCTACATCGGTTCAGCCCAGAAAGGCAGGGTGTCTTGAAGCAGGGGGCTGACAGGTCGTCAGCGGGGCCAGAGATTATTTCATTTGCAATTAGTTAAAGAAGTAAAGCTTTGTCTATAAATGTGCAGTCATCAGAAAGGAATGTTTTCGGTGAAGATTAAGAAGTCTTTTAACCGATACACCAGGTCACAGTGGCGTGTGGGGTGCATGACTTGACCCTGGGCTGGCGGCCTTCGGTCCTGTTTATAATTCGAGTCTTAGGGTCACAGTCCTCTGATCACTAGGTTAACGTCACTACTGGTCAGCCCTGCCTGAACTCCCGCAGGGAAGGGGGAGAGCGAGGCACGTCTGCCCTCCTGTCCCATCATGACTGGGAACTCAGTTGTTCCGGTTTCTCTGGAGTCCCTTTGGCCAAGAGGAGCCTGTTCAGTCGGTTGGGGCCTTAGGGTTTTATTTTTATTTTACAGCACGTAGCACTTTTGCACACGGACAGCGTGGCCCTCACAGTTCGGCGCACATGTCCACAGATGTGTGGCTTGCCTGCGCCACAGAGAATGCACGCTTCTGGTGTGAGAATGAGGCTGTGTGTGACGTGTGAATGCTCGGCCCCGGCCGGCCGCAGCCAGGTCCCTGCGGTGGGTCCTCAGGCCCGGAGACCAGGGATGGCGCCCACAGTGGGAACCTGGGCTGACCGGCTGCCCCCGGGGCCCACGCCTGCAGTCGCCCCACTGAAGCCCAGACAGACCCCCACACGGCCTCGCCTCAGAGCCCAGAACCTTCAGCAGGTCAGGCGGGGTGGTGGAAGGATCTCCCGGCCCCTCCAGCCAGCCCCTAAGATGCTGCTGGAAAAACAGCTGTGGCAGGCAGCTCGGGGGGCCCCGGCTCGGTTATGGCTTATGTACAGCCCCGACAGCCAACTGGCTTTCAGGGAGGGACCAACTTCATAGATAAAATTTGTCATCGTATCGATGGCTCCTGTAGAGAAAAAAGGACTTTTACAGCCTCTTGGAGGTCATGAATAATAGAGGAGGAGGAAAGGGGCCGCTTTGGTTAGTGTTCCGCGGGGCCCAGAGGCCCCCATTATCTCAGCTGATGGGAGCTGGGGGGGCCCCAGCAGCCTATGGTTCTCACTCGTGGAAACCAGTGTGGTCATCACCCAGGGCCCCCACCACACTCAGGGCTGGGGGCAGTGCCCATGCGTCCTGTATTCTTAATAAGGGCTCTGACTTGGCGACGGGGTGACCATACATGGCCCTGTCAAAGGGCCCTGCCTCAGTCTGAGAATGACAAGCTGCAGGCTCCATGGTAGGGGCCTGGACCTCCCACTCCGGGCCGTGACCTGGGGCAGGACTCTAGCTGTATCTGCAAGCCGGAAGAGCAGCATCTCTCCAGGCAGCCGTATGTCAGGGGCCAGTGAGCAGACACAGGGGCCAGAGCGTCACAGGTCACCCCCATATGCCCAGAGTCTGCTCCCCCGTCCTCCCACCTCCCTCCCCACCCGTGGTCTATGGGGCCCTGAAGAGTCCCCAAAGGCAAAAATCCTCCTTTGCTTGCCTCCAGTGATGGGGAACTCACTACCTTACTGTCGGCTGTTCCTCCCATGGACAGCTCTGCCTGGTGGGAAGTCCCCCCACCAGCCCCTGTGCAGAGCAGCCTGTGCCTGTGGAGCCCCAGCCCAGGTTCCGGCTCTCACCCAGAGCATGCGTCAGCCCCTCTAACCCCAAACCCACACTCCTCCCTCATTTCCCTCATTTCCTCTCCTCTTCTCCTGGACCCCACCCTCAGGCTTCACTCCCACCAACCCCCAGGGTGCCTGGGCCAAGCCCACCTGTGACCACCACGTGGCAAGTCCTGTGAGGACTTCACTCCTTGTCCCTCCTGACCTAGCACTGGCTCTGAGTGTGCCAGTGGCAAAGACCTGCTCATGCGGCCTCCACCGGCCCTGGACTCACCCACCACCGCCACCCCTGCCTGCCCTCTCCCGTAGTCCTCTCCAGGGCCTTCTCACCGTGGTCATGGTTTATGGGGCCTCTCATGACCCCATCAGCCACCGTCCCCACCCAGCTGGAGACCCTCAACCAAGCCCTCTCAGGGGGTTTCCTGTGGTCATGAAGCAGCTGACGACCCACTGCAGAGACGAGAGCTACAAAGATGCATTCCCACTGTAGCAGAGGGAGCTGGGATCAGGACAGCCTCAGCTGCATTTTCACTGCCCCAGAGGGAGCTGGGCTCAGGACGGCCTTAGCTGGGCGTTCCCACGACAGCAGAGGGAGCTGGGCTCAAGACAGCCTCAGCTGGGCGTTCCCCCTACGGCAGAGGGAGCTGGGATCAGGACAGCCTCAGCCCGGCGTTCCTCCTGCTACAGAGGGAGCTGGGCTCAGGACAGCCTCAGCTGGGTGTTCCCACTACAGCAGAGAGAGCTGGGCTCAGGACAGCCTCAGCTGGGTGTTTTCACTGCCACAGAGGGAGCTGGGCTCAGGACAGCCTCAGCTGGGCATTCCCACTGCAGCAGAGAGAGCTGGGCTCAGGACAGCCTCAGCTGGGCGTTTTCACTACCACAGAGGGAGCTGGGCTCAGGACAGCCTCAGCTGACAGGGGTGCAGCCCTGAGCCCCGGAGACGCCTGGAGAACCTTTGGACCCATTTCCACCACAAGCCCTGGTGCTGCAGTCGGCCAGCCTGCACGAATTTCCCCCCGGGCTGTATGCCAGACAGGGGAAGGGCCAGCCTCCAGGCCTCTGCGCAAGAGGGCCACGGCCAACTCCCACCCCCTGGGCCAACGCTGGCCTCTCTTGTGCCTGGGGTCCTTCTGCTTCAACCAGCTGTGGACCCCACCCCCATCTCCCCCACCCACCGGCCCTTTCTTCTCTGGCCCAGGTCAGCCTAGGGCCTCCACACCCTCCAGCCCCACCCCCGACCCTGCCTGGAGCCATGTATGAGGCCATGCTGAGGCCCAGGGCTCTCCGCACTCCAGCCAGACCATGGTCCAGGGAGAGCTGGGAGTCTAGGCCAGCACCACGTGGCCATGACCAGAGTAGCCACAATCTCCAGCCCCTGCAGCCTCCACTCCCACGTGCCGCCCTACTCCACCCCGGCCACCTTCCAGGACCACCCCAAGGAAACAGCCCAGCCCAGCCAGCTCGCTGGACTTTCCCAGCGCTCAGGAGTGCCCAGCCACTGGACATGCTCCGCCCTCCCGCTGAATGACAGCTGGCCTTAGTTGCTGTGTTCCCGGGGCACTGCTCAGGGTGGGTGCACCACAAAGATCTGGGGAGGGTGGGGCATCCGATCATTCCCAGCTCCCGGGGAGAGATGAGGGTGTGGCGGAGGTCACCTGGCTGAACAGTGACAGAGCTGGGCCCAAACCTGGGCACCACGTCATTGGCACCACTGCCCGTGGGCACATGTGCCCACCTGCCGGCTGCAGGCAGGCCTGACACAACTGGGCTCTTCCCTGGCACTGCCTGGCACAGGCACTGGGGACCCTCCGCGGACCCGGCAGCTCAGCACTCCCCTGGGCCAGCCTTATCTTGCCCTGCAGAGCCCAGGCTGGAGTGAGGCGCAATGGACGGAGGCGAGGAGGGTGCAGCCGAGCCCTATCAGATACGGCCGGAAATATGACCCCGCTGGGACCTGAGCCCTGAGCCGAGCCATCAGCTCACTAATAAATTACCCAGAGCGAATGTCCACAGGGTCAGCCCGCATCGCCTTTCCAGGGAGCACAGAGAGGGGGCGGCACCCAAGGTCTGTGGGCTGACCGTTCCCTCCCCTCTGTCAATGAGAAGGGTCAGGAAGGAGTTGTCCCGGAGCCCCCCGACCTCGGGCAGTGCAGCCTGACCTCTGAAATCTGGGAGGAGCAGCTCCAGCCCTGGGAAGCCAAGGATAAGCGCCCAGATTGGGCACAGGCGGGAGAGGGTCTTGTCTGGCTACAGGACCTCACTCTTCCCAGGAAGCCAGACTGCCAGCAGGACCACCCAGCCTTCCTCAGTGCTCTCCCTGGAACAAGCGTCAGCGAGCCAAGGCCCTCCTGCCAATCTGGCCCACCCCGTTTGTGTAGACACAGAGCGCACTGTGTGCCATATGGCCCTGTAAGAGAAAAGTTTGCTCCCCCATGCCCTGTACTGAAGACGGCAGTGAGGGGAGGGCCGGTCTGCTGAACCCCATCCCAGTGGCTGCGTTGCTCATGCTCTGACGGTGGGTTCCAGGACTCTGTGTCCATGCAGCCCCACGGCTGGCCCTGAGCAGTCACCCTCTGTGCACACTGTCCCCCAGCCTGGCACACCCTGGGCTCCCAGGGGTCCTGTAGCTTTACCCAAGGGAGATGCACCCCCATTCCTAATGGAGAAACACGGGTCTCTCCACACCTCCTCCAGCAGTCCCCTGAAACAGGTCAAAGCCCCACAAACCAGGCAGGGGTCTGCCCACATGTGGTGGTGCCCTGCGCCAGTGATGCCCTCACCAGCCTCTTTCAGACCTGCCTTTACATGCACCAGCAGACGGGGGGGCTGGCGAGGACGGGCCACCAAGCCTGAGCCAGGCTACCACCTCCGGGCTGTGTGACTCTGGACAGGGTGCCTCAACTCTCTGAGCTGCACTTTCACCTACAAATGAGGGGCAGACTCAGCAGCGCCAGGCAGGGCAGTTGGACGCCCACCCAGGACAGACCCTGAGAAAGGCTGATCCCTCACCCCTGCCATCGCTCACTGACCCATACATTGCCCCTTCCTGCCAGGGCAATATCGAGGGTCGGCCAGTGTGCCCCAAAACGGCAGCTTGGGACCCATTCTTTGCCTCTCCCTCTGGCAACCCCAGGTCAGGACTCACAGGGGCACAGGGGCCTGGGGCAGGGCGGGCACTCTCGCCACCACGGAGGCCCCATGCTGGGTCAGGGTCTTATTGGAGGCTGGACTCTGTGATCACCTCACCTCCCGCAGCCCCACAGTGCCCTCCCTCTCCCACTCTGCCCCGAATTCCAATCCATAGGTTTTTCCAAGAGCTGCACAGCTCTGGAATTGACCTGGGAGGGGGCACATTTGGGCCGGGAGGGGTAGGAACAGCAGCAAACTCTGGTCTTATCTGAAATCATGGTCTGTTGTCCACCGGGGGCCTGGGAAACAGCCACCCCCTTCTGCTCCGGGGCCAGCGGCCTGTCCTCGGGTTCACTGCTATTTCTGCCAAAGGGGAGAGGTAATTATAGCCTGGCCGCTGCCAGCTGGCCCAGCTTTGCGATCCAGCAGAGAGGGCTGGAGACGGGACGAAGGCCACAACAGACCCGGCCCTGCCAGCGGGCGGTGGCGCCTCCAGATCAGAGCCCTCGGGAAGGAGGCCTGGGCGGGCCTGGCCCGTTCACCTGTGTGCCCTGCAGTTCTGCCCGAGGCTCAACTCTCAAGGGCCTGGGAGGGGTGCTGCCGGCCAAGAGGGTCCAGGACCTCACTGGACTGTGCCCCACAGGGAGATCCCGAAGAGCCTGTTTCTGTCCCTCGGGGAGCCAGGAGGGAACCAGGTGAGTTCCAGCCCCAGGGAGAGGGGGCTCACTTCCTGCTTGGGTATGAAGATGCCAGAGCGGAGAGATTGCCAAAGGCAGGTGCAGGTGGGGAACCTGCCCCAGCTGGGCAGCAGGTGTGGGCAGAGACTGGGCAGAGCGGAGAGATTGCCAAAGGCAGGTGCAGGTGGGGAACCTGCCCCAGCTGGGCAGCAGGTGTGGGCAGAGACTGGGCAGAGCACACACTGATGATCCTGAGTGACCTGAACAAGCTCCAGAGTGGCCACCCTTCCCCCTTCTCCTGGGACTGATGGTTTCCCTAAAACGGAGACAGTCCCAGGCCGGCCCTGTGTCCACACTGAGGCCAGGCCGCCTCTGGGGGAAGCAGGGAACACGGCCACTTCAAACTTAGCAGCGGGGGTGCTCCTGGCCACACAGGAGCTTCCAAAGGGCACCTGATGTTGCGCGAAACAGCCTGGGCAGTGGGAGAAGGGGCTGCACTCTCAGGGGAATGCAGGCAGCCGTGCCAGGCATGAACCCAGCCAGCCTTCCCTGAAGGGCCTTGGTGGGGGGCATCCTCCGAGGGCAAGTCTACGCAGGCCCAGCCTAGCAGGAATGGATTCGTTACTCCAGTAACTGAAGCCTAGTTCTCAGTGTTTGGGAATCCCTGAGAACTGGCTCTTTTCTGAGCCGTCAGTCAGAAGGAATCCCTGTCCTGCCCTGTGTGGCCATGGGACCCCCACCCAGCACTGGACGCCACGCCATTTCTTGGGCACTACTGAGCTTTGCAGTGCCCTGGACAGTTGGCAAACAGCCCCCATTCCACATATGGGAGGAAGGGCCTGGGGGGGTCCCCCGCCCTGTCTGTCTGGAGCTCTCGAGGCCTAGGGTGGCCCCTGCACCCAGCAGATGAGCAGCCATCACCCGGTACTGCTGCTACCTCGAGCCCTAACTGCACCTCGGGATGTGAGGGCCCATCTAGGCATGGAGAGGGGCCTCAGGGGGCCACCAGGCAGCTCCTGCTCCTGTTCCTACCTGGTAGGGCCTGCAGGCACCTGAGCAAGCCCAGTGGGCGGTCAGCCCAGCCAGGGGCCTCCCCACAAGTTCTCCCTCTTACTTAAGTCGAGAACGCATGTTGTCTGGGGAGCTGCCAGCGTGGTTCCAGTGGTGAGCGTTGGGCTGGGAGCCAAGGCTTTTCCCAGGAGCCCAGCCACCCCGCCTGGCTGTGTTCTGCCTCCGCCCTGCAGAGGAAAGGCCAGCGAGGCAGTGTCCATGGTCCCAGTCTTCTTCCACCGGAAGAAGGCACAACCTGCATCTGCAGCCCCAGGGCCATTGGGTTAGGCCTGTGGCCAAACTACTAAGGTGCTGGGAGACTGAGGAGGCCCAGCTCCTCCTGGGGCCACCAAGCCCGTGGTTGACGGCCTCCCCATGGACCGGGCTGTCCCGAGAGCAGCAAGTCAGCCGGGGCCCTCAGGGCCGCTGAGGCCACTGCTCAGTGTCGCCGTAATGGAAACTTCTCAGCTGGTTGTGAGCCGCAACAGCTCTGGTTCACACCCTGCGACAGCGAGGCTGTGACCGCCAGTGGATCTCGGGGCTGATCAGGCCTGAGCCACCCCGGAGGTACAGCACCAGCAGGAGCCCAGGTGGGCAGGGGCAGAGAGAGAGAGAGAGAGAGAGAGAGAGTATGTATGTGTGTGTGTGTAAGTGGTGGGGGTGGGGGCTGTGAGTCTCCAGCTTCTCCCAGGGAGGTCTCTGGCTTCCCAGGAGCCTGGCCCCCTGTCTCCAGCTCCCAAGTGAGTTGCCCTGGGGGAGGCTGCACCTGGAACAGGGAAACAGGGAGCCTGGCCCCAGCCTGCACTCGCTCAGGCCCCGGGACCCTCTGCCCCTGGAAGGCTGTGAGGCTGCCGTGTGAATGGGTGCAGTGCCAGGCGAGGGGTGAGCCGGGAGTGTGGGGCCGCACGCTCAGAGCCGAGGAAGGGCAGTGCCAGGCGAGGGGTGAGCCGGGAGTGTGGGGCCGCACGCTCAGAGCCGAGGAAGGACCTCCCATGTGGGGTGGGTGGGATGTCAGGATTTCTCACGAGCCAGCTGCTGCATGGGGGGCACTGCCCGCCCCGAGGAACCCTCAGGGAGGACAGAGAAACATCAGGAGGTGGGCTGTGGGCAAAAGGGCGGGCGGCACGGGCCAGGCAGAGGCAGCAGCCTGGGAGGAGGCGGGAAGCCAGCGGGCGGCGTCCTGGAGGACGGGGCAGGAGTGGGAGGGAGCAGCAGTGGCTGGGCCCCAGAGCTTGGCGTTATCCAAGCCACAGAACCAGGCAAGAACCACTGGCCCGCCCCCACGCCCCACTGCAGGCTGGTCTCGAGGGGGAGGGACTCGGCACTGCCACGGCCGCTGGGCTCCATCAGTGCCCTCACGTCTCTCAGCAGCTTCAAGATGAGGTGGGGTCTTTGGGGTACTGGGCTAGACCCCCAAAGACTGTTGGAGGGTCACACCCCAGACCAAGGTCCTGGGCCTCAGCCCTCATGGCCCCACCTCCCACCAGCAGTACGGGCTGGTCATGCCCACAACTGGGAGCTCCGGGCCCTGACTCCCGCCTCTGTCCCAACCCAGGCTCTGAAACCTGGCAGGCTGTTCTCCCTCTCTGGGCCTCAGTTTCCCCTCCGCCAGGGAGCTCGGTGCCCCCTCTCAGTAGAGGAGCTGGTAAGAACCCCCCAGCCCCCCAGCACCAAGGGAGGCGCCATGGGGTTCCTGTTCCCAGAGTGGGGGTAGAGTCCCCTCGGGTGGACGCGCCCTCCCCAGCAGCGGGCCTAGCGGGACACTTACAGGTCCAGGCTCTGAAGCTATTTTCCGCCCTTTATCTCCCATCTGTCACGAGGCCTCCAGTTACACACTGTCCCTGCCAGAGGCCCCAGGCCTCCCCGCCCCCACCTGCCGAGCATGCCAGAGCCACTCCTTCCCTGCTTCCACTGGGGAAAATGAGGCCCAGGGAGGTCACACCACTTACCCGAGGTCACAGAGCCAAAGAAGGACAGAGCCCAGGACTTGAGCCAGACCTCTCTTCCAGAAGGGGAAGCGTGAAGCCCAGTTAGGGAGGGGATGGCAGGGCTCAGGGAGGCTGTCTGGGAGCAGAGCATGGCCCACGTGAAGGTGCATCTCTGGAGAGGGGACCGCGGAGCTCAGGGAGGCTGCCTGGGAGCAGAGCGTGGCCCACGTGAAGGTGCATCTCTGGAGAGGGGACCTCAGGGCTCAGGGAGGCTGCCTGGGAGCAGAGCGTGGCCCAGGGGAAGGTGCATCTCTGGAGAGGGCCCCAGGGCTCCCGGAGGGGAGGTGTCATCCCATAGGATGTCCTGACTGTCCAGACACAGCCAGAGCCACCTGAGCTCTGTTCCTGGGCACATTCCCTCCCCGAGTGATGCCAACAGTGGCTGATGGCACAGAGCACAGGCTTGGTGCGGACTCGGGTCTGTGCACTGACTCCCACCCTCACGCGAGCCCGCAGAGGCTGCTGCTCTCCTCACCCCCATTTCACAGCTGAGCAGACCAACGCCCAGGCAGATTAGGAGACTTGCCTAAGGTCACACGTGGTCACACAAGGTGCTCTGGAGCCCACACCTGAAGAGGGGGAGGTGCTGTCCCGTAGGAAGTCCTGACTGTCCACATTCCGGCAGAACTCTGTGCCCCAGAAGGCGAAGTCGCGTCCTCCCCAAGTTATGCTGCTCAGCAACAGATGGTTAATGCCACAGCCAGGCACCCTCACAAACACACTGCCTACGCCTGCACATTCACATACACTCTACACAAACACACACACATTCACCCACACATACGCAGATACACTCACACACACACACGGGCACATGCATGGACACACACACACATGCATATTCACATGCACGCACAGAAATACAAGTACACATATGCACACATAGCCACACCTCCATGCACACATTCACACACACAGACACCCCACACGTGCACACTCATGCCCTCTGACACACGTGCCCACTCTCACACTTGCACACTCAGGGGAATACTCACACATGTGTGCACTCACACACGTGCACACACACACTGTTTTCCCACCATCCCTTGGACAGACCCCAGGCCAAGGAGGGGTGAATAGCGAGAGCTGCTGGCAGGAGCTGGGGGAGACTGCGTCCAGCCCTGCATCCCTGCGTGACTCCGTCGGCCCAAGCCTCTCCAGGCCTGTTTCCCCATGAGGAGTGAACCTGGCTGGGCCCCCTGGAATGCTGCTGCAGGGTCGCCTGGCAAGGGGCTGTGGCCCTGGGCACGCCAGCCAGCCCCAGGCCGTGCAGCCCCAGGAAATGACCCCGAATGCACAAGCCTCCTTCCGCCGGGCAGTGGGAGAGCCCGGGCTCTGGGTCCAAGAGGTCACTGGGGGGCTCTGCTCCACCCCCAACCCCACCCTGGGCTTTAGCAGAGTTTCTATCCCACCCAGGGTGGAAACTGAGTCAATGGCATCCAGAGAGCCCTTCCAGCCCCAGCCCTGCTACGGACAGGCAGTCAAGGTTGCCCTGCCAGGCAGCATCCCCAAAACACCAGGACAGGCCTGGCACTCTGTGGCTTCCCTAACCCTGGGGATCACGCAGAGCCCACATTCCAGGTGACCTGGCCCCAGGAGACGGGGCCCCAGCTCAGCTGGGCCTGCAAGCACAACCTCTCCCACAGCCACTCTCTGAGAGCAGGTCCTGAAGATAAGCCGCCCCTCCCCGCCACCCCCCTGGATGGCCGGCTCCTGCCACAACCCTATTTGCAATAAAAACCTGATCCGGCGATAGCAGAAAATTGCTCTCTTTTGAAATAATTGAACCCGTCCAGACAGTGTCCTCCCAGACATCATTAACAGGGCACTCTGCTTGTCTGCAGTATTTATGCCCACTTGGGGAGGTGGTCATGGCCACCCTGTTATCTCCTGTAGAGGACGGCACACGGCTGCTGGAGTCACTGCAGTATCCACCCAAACCACTCCTCCCACAGGCCTGCCCTGAACCTCTGAGGCACCCATCCCTTTGGGGGACCCTGGAGGAGTTATCCTTGAGGACCATGTAGGCCCCTCACTCTCACCCTCCCCCTTCTCAGCCCTTGGGGGCAGGGTCCTTGGAGGACCACGGGGAGCCAGGGAAGCATCTCAGGAAATGCAAACACCTGCCCTGTGAGGGGCAGGGGCGGCAGTACCCTCCAAGGACCCCAGGGCAGGGGAGAACCTGAAGGGCAGCAGGAGGTCCCCACACTGCCCCCTATCCAGCTGGGAGCAGGGCAGGGAGGACCTGGCCTGGCATCAGCTCCCAGGGAAGCCCCAGCCCCCTCTGGCCTCAGTTTCCCGACCTGAAGCAAGAGAGGCAGGCTCATCACCCCCAGAGCCCTTGAAAGGCAGACACCTGCACCTGCACAGATGCCTGGTAGGCACTGCACCCCTCTGTAGGGAGGAGTGCCCAAAAGTCAAGAACCCTGCCAAGGCTGTGAGAGAAAATTCACACTTGGGGGGCTCCACCGGTGAGCACGAATGAGGAGAGCACAGCCTCTGCCGCCAAAGACACGGGGGTGGAGGCGAGGAGGCGCCATTCACAGCCAGGAAGCAACCAGCGCAACAGAGGAGGGGACAGAGAGACAGAGATAGAGGTAGAGAGATAGAGAGAGAATCAGAGAGAGGAAGGGGGACAGAGACAGAAACAGGGAGATAGAGACAGAATTAGAGAGAGGCAGGGAGACAGAGATGGAGACAGAGAGAGAGACATAGAAAGATAGAGACAGAATCAGAGAGAGGCAGGGGGACAGAGAGATGGAGACAGAGAGATAGAGACACAGAATCGGCGGGGGCGCGGTGCAGAGAGAGACACAGAGAGAGAGTGTGAGCCGTGCTGAGGGGTGGGCCCCCAGGAGCCCAGGGGCGCCCCACCAGCACCAGCCCAAAAAGGTGGGCATGACCCTCTGGGAAGCCTTTCTGTGGACCCGGTCTCAGAGCCCTGACAATTCCCAGTCCCCAGCCCCAGGGCTTCCCGCTACCGAAAGGAGACAAAGCAAAGATGTTTCTTGCAGCCTTATCCATGACCTCCAAACATTGCAAATGACAATACTAAAATGCAACCCTCATGAATACCCAATCATCGAGGGTGACTTTCAGTGACGGGACCTCGGCCCAGTGGAATATTATGCAGCCATTAAAGATGATAATTATGAAGACCGTGGCAGCAAAGGAAATTGCTTGCGATGGCATTTCTGAACGAGCAGGGAACAGGATTTACCTGCACTGGGGACACCACAGAGGAAAAGTGGTGTCTGCTCAACAGCGTGGCCGGTCGCAAGCCCGGGAAGCCAGCCTGGCTTCCAGGAAAGAATTTTCTCCTCCTCTTATTTTCATTCCTCTGAGTGCCACTTGTGCAGTAAATAATAAATAACGTCTCTGCTTATCTTAGGACCATGTTCCAGTAAATGAGGACTGCAGCAGGAGCCGTGAGCCCTGACTCCCGGCCAGAGACACGACGTCAGACCAGAAAGAATGAGGAGGCCGCGTGGGGCCCGCGGGTGTGCAGGGCAGAGAGGGTAAGGCGGGCCGCTGGGACACAGCTTCTGCAAGCTGGCCTTCCACTGGGGGCTGGAGGGGGCAGGGAGCAACAGACGTGGAAAGGCCATCCTCCACCCCAGGAATCAGGGGGTGATAGGAGGAGGGCAGGGGGATCACTGAGGGCTGGGGGGAGCAGCGGGGGGCAATGGGTGCCTTGAAGGATTTGGTCTGGCAGAGGAGATTGGAGGCCCCCAGGTGGGGCACAGCTTGGCAGAGGAAGTGGGAGCCATGGAGGGCTGTGGAAGAGGCAGCTCAGGGAGGAGGGTGTTGGAGGAGGGAAGAGGGTGGAGAGAGGACAGGTCAAGACTGTCACCAAGGGTCAGTGTTAGGGTTAGGGGCCCAGACCTCAGACCCTGAGGCTCCATCCAGCCTCTGAGGCACTGCCAGGCTGGGGCATGCCACAGGCACAGCAGGAGCTGGGCCAGACTCAGCATGGGCAGGCCTCACGCCCTCGCGGGGCAGCCTCGCCAGATGCCGAGCAGCAGGCTGTGTACAGCGAGCAATGCCCCAGCCAGGAACAACCTCAGAGCTGGCCCGGCTCCCAGGGTGCCTCAGCCCCAGTTGTCACCATGTCACAGACAAGGATGCTGAGGTTCACAGCAGCCCGAAACTCCCACTCCATCTTCCAGACTCAGGCTGGGCCCATACACGTGAGCAGACCAGCAGAGAAAGGGCCCAGGTAGGCAAATGTGTAGGAGCTGCCCCCGCCTGCAGCCTGGGAGGCTCGGCCCCAGGGAAAAGGAGGCCGAGGCCACCAACCAGCCCTCCTCACGGCCCTGGCCCGGCCCCTGCCCCATAGAGCTTGCAAACTCTGGCCCCTTAGCCAGAGCCCCTCTGCCATTGCAGCCCCCTCCCCCTGTCCACATGTCCTGGGGACCCTGTCCAGCAGCCTGCATCCGAGACAGCGGGCAGACGAAGAGAGGTTCAGTGGGGACTTGCGTGAAGAGACGGGGTCAGGAGGGGCTCCTGTCTTGCCTGGGCCCCTGAGGCTGAGTCTGGCTGCCCTGCAGTCCCTGTCCAGGAGCTGCCCCTCACCCTACAGGAAGTGACAGGCCCAGCATAGCGCACCAGCCAGGACAGGGTACAGGTTCCAGGACGGTGCTGCTGGGCCCCACATGGCTCAGACCTGGGTACCAGCGGCCTCCCGCCGGGGACTCACCAGTCTGCTTCCCGCCCCCACACCAGGAGGACAACAGGAAGTGCCCCCCCTCCATCCTGAAACGGAGCCGGCCGGAGCACCACCGCCCAGAGGCCAAGCCCCAGAGGACCTCGAGGCGCGTGTGGTTCCGAGAACCCCCAGCGGTGACCGTCCACTGTAAGAGGGCACCCGCAGCAAGCAGCTGGGAGAGGGTGGAGTCAAGCAGAGGGAGGCGGGGACACCGGCCACACCCACACAGCTCTGGCAGGGCCCAGGACATGGGGGGGCCGTGGCCACCTGCCTTCAGTGCCACAACCCCTGTAAGACCTGGGCCCCTGGGGTCATCTGGACACACAGTCCCGGTCCATGAAACAGCAACTGGAGGAGAACATGAGGGCGGATTCTCAAATCATGACTGTCCCTTTGAGGAAGTGTCAGGACCGGCTGGGCCTGGGTCTCTCACTGATGAATAGTCTCAGGGTCCTTCGGGGGTGCAGGGTGAGACGAGAGGGCGGGGGCGCCCGATGGACTGAGGCAGGTGCCCCCAGCTGACTCTCCATTCTCTTTCGCAGACATTGCTGACAAGAACGCCACAGCCACTGTCAGGGGTGAGTTCTGAGCCCACATCCCTGTGCCCCACTGCCCCCTCCGTGGGTGCACCCACCCTCACTCCCTCCCCGAGGGAGGTGTCACAGGGCCAGGGCCTCTAAGGAGTCCCCAGTTGGGGAGCTCTTGTTGCAAGGAGACCCCAAGAGGCTAGGGAGGGGCCATGGGCATGGACAGGGTGGAATCTCCCCATCCCTTCCCCACCAGCCCCAGTCCTCCAGGGAAGGGTCGCGCTGGCTGGCGCTGACCCTGCCTGCCCTCTGGCCGCAGTGCCCGGCCGGCCCAGGCCACACGGCGGCTCCCTGCTCCTGCAGCTGTGTGTGTGCGTCCTGCTCGTGCTGGCCCTGGGCCTATACTGCGGCCGGGCCAAGCCCGTGGCAACGGCACTGGAGGACCTGCGGGCCCGGCTCCTCGGCCTTGTCCTGCACCTGCGGCACGTGGCCCTCACCTGCTGGCGCGGCCTCCTGCGGCTCTGACGGGCAGGACGGGCAGGACGGGCAGGGCTTCCAGGAGAGCTCAAGCACTCCGGGGGCTCCGAGACAGCCTGAGCCCTGGCCCTGCTGCTTGGTGAATCATGGGGGCCAAAAGGGGCTGCTGCCTGAGGGCTAACTAGGAAAAGGGGGACCCCGTGGCGTGAGATCGGACATGGGGGGCACAGCAGGCGGCCCCGCCACACTAGTCAGCACAGCCCTCCTGTCTCCTGTGTTGGGTCCATGTGAGATTTTATTAGAAAGAGGATTCGACTGCTAACAGTTGAGGCTCCCCAGGCTCACCCAAAGACCCCTCCCTCGTCCCAGCAGGAACTCCTGCTGCTGCTAGGGCCTGGCCCGGCCATCACCGTGTGCACCCTCTTGAGGAGGGGGACACACTGCCCGTGTTCAAGGGGCTGCTCGGAGGAGGCAAACCCAGCCTTTTGCGATTATGGCTTGTGGGGAATCCAGACCTCGAAACCCCACGGGGAGGGAAGGGTCTGGTTGTCAAGGTGGGTCCCTTTGATGTGAGGTGCCATCCTCTGAGCCCAGGTCTGACCCCCCTACCCAGCCCCGTGAGTCTGGAGAGGCCCCAGGGAAGGACCCCTCATCAGGGGCGGCTTCAGGTGTAGAAGCCGAGGGGACAGCAAGGGGCCCAGACACCCCCGACCTTCAGAACAGCCATCTGTGCCCAGCTCTGCAGGCCAGGCACACCCAGCTGAGCCCGGGGCCAGCCAGCACCACCCACCAGCTGGGGCCTGTGGGTCCCGGAGACCGTCTGTGGTTGTGGCTTTGTCGCCGGATTGCAGAGCTGAAGGGAGCCCTGTGGATGACAAACACCAGGGGCCTCTCCAGACCCTACGTGGGGGGAGGGCTGAACAAAGCAGGGAGGCCCACGGTTAGACACCAGGCAGAACTGCCCAGGAGAGACACAGGGACAATCAGACCAGCGTCCTCGAGGTTAGCCTGAGGCGGGTGGGCACGGCCGACCATCCACCCGGTGGTTCCTGTTTGTCCCACCACTTAACTGGGAGACACTGTTTTATTAAAACACACCGTGGCTTCCTTCAGTCTTGGTGTTTTTATAGAAATGAGAGAAACCAGAACCGATTTGCTAAGGAATCGGCCTCAGTGGCCAAAGCGGATGTCCTGGGCGCCTGGAACCTCCCCATCTCCTGCAGGCCTGGGAGTGGATGTGTCCACTCGGGCAGGGGCTGACCAAGCCCCTGGGTCTTGAGGGATGCCCGGCCGGCTCCCTTTGCCCTGCAGTCAGGGTGTGTCCCTGCAACTCCAGGTGCCAGGGAACAGGTGAAGTGGTCTCCAGGGTCACTTCCAGCTTTGGAATCCAGGGAGCCCAGAGTTGCGGGTGGAGGTAACAAAAGGGGCTGTTTCCAGAAGTGGCCCAGAAGGGACCATGGTGGGGGCTCCCCCGGGGACCCTCCAGCATCTCTCCCCAGGCCCAGCCCATCCCACCCCACCCCAGGAAGGAGGATGGGCAGGTTCCTGCCCCATATTCTGGATGCAGAAGCAGCGGCTCCCAGAGGTTGGGTCTCTCAGAGCAGTCACAGGCCCAGGCTCAGCCCTGTGTGCTTGGGACACCCCTCCAGCCCCGGTTCTGACGGGGGACACCGCACAGGCCGATCTCCCCCAGCCGCTGCTGTCTGTCCACTGCAAAGGCAACGCAAGGACGTGCCTGGCTTTGCGGGGTCCCACGCTACGACCTCAGGTGTTTTCGAATAAACATTGCTCAAAGATGGGCACCACACCCCCAAGAGATCCTTCGAAATGGATCCTCCCACCTGGGGAAGCTGCATGGGAAGCAGTGAGACTCGAAGCCACTAGAAAATGTACAGAGAGGAAGGCAGAACCTCGGGAAGGCCAACTTCTAATTCCTAAAAGCTTCGGACACGAAAGGCTCAAAGCCTGAGCAAACTGTGTGTGACCCACAAATTACAGACAGTTAGAACCACGAGCCAGGCCAGCCAACAGCGGAGAGGGCAGACAGAAGCCCCACACGCTCCTCCTCATCCCTGTTGGAGACTCGGGTGCTTTTGTTTTTATTTTGATTTTGAGGAATAGACACATGTAAGCTTAAGGATCTTTACTTTCAGTTTAGCCAGAGTGGAATTAGAACAGGGATATCATTAACAGCCAGCCAGGACAGAAGCGAAGGCGTCTCAGAAGCAACTTGGTGGACCAGCCTCAGGAACCCCGGGTCATGCCTGCACTTCCCACCTTCCTGCCTGGGGAGAGGCCCAATCCCCTGAGGGACCCTGGAGAGCCCACGACCAGGGCCGCCAGCCCCTGCCCAGCACACTGCAGGCCCAGCTGCCCCTTCCCAGGGCGATGTGTCTGGGCTCCGGAGACAGCCCAGTCCAGGGTGGGTCTATGTCTGCATGCAGCCGAGGATTTCCATCACCCTGGCCATGGGGCTGTTCCACACCTGCTCCTGGGATCCAGCAGTGCAGCCCCCAAGAACAGACCCAACCGGGGCCAAGCCTCAGGTTCCAGAAGCCACCCCTGCCTCCTGCCCCTCCTTCAGGGCCCTAGATGGCTGTGGCCTGGATCAGGGCTGGGCAGAGGGTGAGGCAGGAGCCACCCCACCTTCTGCTGGGGACACAGACAAGGAGCTCTCCGGACTGGAAAGAGTCCCCATGTCCAGTGGGTCAGGGCTGGAAGGGGAGACAGGGGACCCCATCAGCTTAGGGGGCCTCGGATTCTGTCCAAACCCCTTCCCTCGAGGACCTGGCTGCCAGCTGGAAACTCAGCTGGTCCCCAAGGCCAGAGCCCCCTTGAGCTTCCAGAGCCTCGATCCCCCTGGACTTGACACCCCCGATGGGCACCTGCCAGCCTCACTCCCGGGACCCAGGATGATGCCCCCACCAGGACCCTCCATGTGGACCCAGGCACGTGGCCTCCAGGAGGCTGGTGCCCAGCCACCCAGAGACACAAGCCAGCTGCTGATGGTGGACAGGGTGGGTCATGAACTCAGGGAGCCAGGGGCTCGCCTCTCCCCGGGAAGGTGGGCGCAGCAGCAGGGAGCACTTGGCAGCACTCGAGCCAAGAAACGGACAGCCCCTCATCGAGCCCCGGGTGGGGAGGCCCCCCGCCTCCGCCCCCGCCCCAGAACGAGTCCTCTGGAGGTGGACCCTGGGCTTTCCTGAGGGGCAGGGTCCACAGCCAAGCAGCCCCCTACGCCGGGGTCCCAGGTTCACATCCCAGCTCCTCCACTTGCTTCTGCGGGGCCTCAGCACACAGACTCTGCAGAATGGGAAGGCAGCTCCCTCCTCTCTCAGGTGGATGCTGGGCGTGGGAGCCCATGGGAGGGGCAGAGGGGCTGTCCACACAGCACCCACGGCTCCCATCACGCACACAATGCTCACACGCACAGGCGTGCACATGCTCACATGCAACACACGCACATTCACATGCACTTACGCACATGCTGCACACACTGCAGACACACCTGCCTAGACACTCACACCTACACACTCTTCCTCACACTCACATGCATGCACACTCATGTCACAGGGAGTCACACCCTCACACTCACATCCTCCCAGGCACACTCACAATCAAGCCTTCACACGCACAACAGTCACACCCTCACATGCAGTCACACCCACATGCACACTCATGCACAATCACATCCTCCCAGGCAGTCACTCGCACATGCAGTCACACATTCACTCACAGGCAGTCACACTCTCATGCACTCAGTCACACCCTCACATGCACACTCATGCACACTCATATCCTCCCATGCAGTCACACACTCTCACATGCAGTCACACCCTCTCGTGCACACTCAGTGACACCTTCACATGCAGTCACACCTGCACTGTCACACCCACACATGCACACTCAGTCACATCCTCTCATGCACTCATATACACAATCACACCCTCCCATGCACAAAGGCACTCACAATCACATCCTCCCATACTCACCCACACACAGACCCCTGCCATGGCTCCTGGCCCAGTCCTCTATGTGGTACGTGTGCCCCCGAAATCCCCAACCAGATGATGCCCCCGATTCTGTGGAGCCCAGATTACCACTTCCCTGACCCTCAGCCAAGCACAGACAGGACCCACACACAGTGAGGTGAACTCACAGGCCTCAGAAGCCTCCCTGAGCCCGGCCACAGGGTCTCCCAGGCCTATGGCACCCACCCAGGAGGGGGACTCAGCTGGGGAGGGGGCCAACCTGGGGCCAGAGGCTGGAAGGTGCCGTGAGCTCCTCCCCACACGCAGCCTCTGCCTGGATGGCAGAATTCATGCAGAATTCGTTCAGGGCTAAGTGACATCTGGCCACCCCTGGGCCAGCTGGCATGGAGACAGCATCCGGCCAGGGTTGGGGGAGACAAGCTGGACGCCCTCCACATAGGCTGGCCAGTCAGGTCCTACTGGGACAGCCAAGGGGCCCTGTGCGAGGCCTGGAGGTGCCCCCCGCCCCCGCCCCACACCCATAGTCTCTCTGCACCATCCTCATCAGGGAGCCGGCACCCACCCAGTCCACTGCCAGGCTCACAGGTGGGCACTGGGGCGCTCACCTCACTACACGTGGCGTCGAGGGGACACACGCAGGGCTGCATGTGGCCAGGGCCCAGGCAGAGCCCCCCAGCTGCTTCCCCAGGCAGGCCCGTGCCCCCGAGCGCAGCAGGGAGGTCGGGGCCAGCTCCCCCTGCCTGCACTGTGCCTAAATGACAGCGCTCTTCTCCTCTTGGAAGGAGGTGCGTGGGGACGGCCGGGCCAGCAGCAGCTCCTTCTCGTGGATCAGGCTGTCCAGCAGGTCCTCCTGACGGTAGTTGTGGTAGACCTTCAGGAAGGCCAGCGTGGTGATGGCCAGCCAGGCCAGCCATGAGGCCCAGAGGCCAAACTGCACAGAGGGCAGGGTCAGGGTCAGAAGCCGTTGGGGGTCCGCTGTCAGTGCAACCCCCTCCCACCAGCCCCCAGGCTCTGCTCTGCAGGGAAAGGACAGGACTCAGAGGAAGGAGGAGGCCGGGGACATGGGGCAGGGCCAGCTCCTGAAGACCCTGCCCAAGATCAAGCTTCTGAGTTCCTTCCTGCAGCCAGCATCGTTTTCCAGCACCTGTGGCCCTCCCGGAACCCACTCTGGTGCAAAAGCCCTGGGCACTCAGACCAACCCTCACTCCAGGCCGGCCAGAGGCCCCGAGGAGGGGCAGTGGCCAGTGGCGAGTGCTTTCTCCTCCAGCAGCTCCGGCCTGTCGGCTCTAAGGAGGGCGGGTAAACAGCGGAGGCTCCTCCAACCACCGGAATAAATTGACCTTTAGCCGCTGTTTCCAAACAGTTGAAGGAGAAACAATTTAATCAGAACCAGGCCTGAGCTACATTAAGCTGATTCTCATTTGAGCGTATTTGCCATCAGACTGCACTCACACCTTAATCCAACTGGCACAAATTAGGCCTGAGGCCTCTTCCACTCACTAAATTTGCATGAAGGTGTCTTTGACAGGTCCAGTTCATCTCGGCAAAGAGCATTCAGGCCCACCCATGTCCAGCACCCTTGGAGGGCTCCTGGCCAGGAGAAGCGTCCTCAGGCCAGCCACGGCCAGCAAGAGCCTTCAGAGGCCAGCCTGGGGTCCGGAATTGGACCTGAAGCCAGCGGGCCCTGATCAGTGCTGGCAGGAGCCAGGTGTCTGGTCTCAGCCACCCCCACCCGGCACCCCTCATCTGCCTCATCTCCGTCTGGGGCACATCTGCAGATTTCAAGGGGCAAACCCAATTCCAGGGTTCCCCCTCCGGCCCTCACGGGCCACTGATGTGTCCCCACATGCCTGCATTTCAGCAAATAGCGTCCCTCAGAGTGGGGGCCACCATCGCCCTCCACCAAGTCTCCTAGGGGGCGGGGGACGCAGCTTATACAAGGGCAGGGTGGCAAATCTGAATTCACAAGTGGGATCCCCTGCCTCCTTCCTTGGACTCTGTATCAGCTTCCCCCTGGCTAGGGGACTCCTCTAAGCCTCCAGCTCTGATCTGAACAGGCCCACCCAGCGCCAGCACCAAAGTCCAAAGCCCTTGTCCCTACACTGGACCCCCAGGATCTGATGCCTGGTTTCGTTTCTGGCACCACCTCCCCCCACACCCCCACACTTCCCACCCCAGACCCCAGGGCCTTGCCACTTCCTGATTCTAACTCACTGTGGCCATCTCCTCCCCAAACCCACCTACAAAAGCCCAGCTCTCCCCCACCTCCTGCAGGAAGCCTTCCCGACTGCTCCCACTGCCTGGTCCCATTGCTAACTACCTTATCCACACAGGAGCCTGCCTCCTCCTCTGGATGGGGGAGAGCTCAGCAAATGTCCAGCAGTAAATGGCCCCCTCCCAGCATTGCAAGCCTCCCTTCTTGCCCAGAGCCCCCTACCTGGGCAATTGCAAACTGATCGTAGAAGGCGGAGTTGTCCACGCCCAGCTCCAAGTCGATGTCCTGGAGCTCTTCACAGCTAAAACAGCAGGACATAGGGTGGAGGGTGACCACCAGGACAGCCAGTGCGGGACATGGCTGAGCCGCTGGCCAGAGAGCCAGGAGCTTTGCCCTACAATTGTTGGGCGAGGGGGTGGGCAGCAGGGAGTCTCTGGGGACATCACGGAGGGTTAGCCTCGATGCCTCCTCCATGGAGCAGGACAGCCTTTGGGGAAGGAAACCTCCAGGCCCCTCCCTGTCCTGGCCCTGGACAGCCAGAAGACGCCAGCTCTGCCTCTGCCCTCCTGGACCCTCTGCCCCCCATGCCCCACACTCTGAGGATCACGGGGT
The DNA here is from genome assembly GCF_000001405.40 of Homo sapiens. Taxonomy (NCBI): domain Eukaryota; kingdom Metazoa; phylum Chordata; class Mammalia; order Primates; family Hominidae; genus Homo; species Homo sapiens. The sequence continues at coordinate 153,378 of NT_187599.1, forward strand.
CTCAGAGGCCAGGCCCCTCCCTGTCCTGACCCAGGACGGCCGGAAGACGCCAGCTCAGCCTCTGCTTTTCTGGACCCTCTGCCCCCCATGCCCCACACTCTGAGGGTCACAGGGTCTCAGAGGCAGGAGATGCAGGGCTGCCTCAGCCAGACAGAGATGGAGGTGGCATCCCCACCAACGCTGCCCAGAAGCTCTGCCCCCATCACGGAGGCATCTGTGGAAGCAGTGGGCATCAGAGGGCCCAGGAGTGAGCCAGGCCTGGGCTCCCGGTAGGTGTCCTGCACCCCCAACATAAAACGTGAAGCCAGGACACATTGACAGGAGCAGGGTGCCAGAAAGAGGGGGCCCAGCGGCCCCAAATCCCTGGAGGGGCTGAAGGGCTGGAAACAGTGTCTGTGAGGCCAAGGAAACTTTGCGTGTGTACCAGAGGTTGCCCACACTCTTGGGAAGCAGGTGGCCCGAGCCAGCAGGCAGAGCTGGGACAGTGCACGATGAGGCACAGGGCACAGCTCAGCACAGGAGGCCCTGCAGGGCCACACACCCAGGTGCTCCTGCTTTCCTCTGGTTTGTGCCCCAGCTACCCCAGGGTGGAGGCACGGAACAGACAGGCAGGGAGCCCCTTCAGCTCTGCTGCATCTGTTGCAGATGCTGGGGTTTCAGGTCTGGGTTTGCTTAAAGGAAGAATGTGGAAACTCTGGAGGGTTCCTGTCTTCCAGGGTTTTGGCCTGGGGCACTGCATGGTGCCCCTCAGGGCGGGGCATCCCACTGTGGGGGGCAGGCAGTCACTGTGCTCCACTCTGGGGCCCCCCACAAGCCAGATGATGCCCCTGCTAAGATCCCAGAGGGACCACCATGGCTCAAAGGCCTCCATCCCCAACCCGCCTGGGAGCTGACCCTCACCCTGCCAGAAGCTTCCTCTGCTCCTGTTCTTCACCATCCCCGTCCCTTCCACCATCTTCCAAACTCCTCACCATGAGGACCAAAGCCCTGAGCCTAATGCTCCCTGGGCTCTCCCATGCAGCCAGCACAGGACAGAAGCCCCACAGTCTCCGGCTGTGTGGCCACACCGAGCCTCCCAGGACCCGGGGCCATGCTGCACGGGATCTGTCATCTAAGCCCTGGTGGCAAGAACAGGGCAGCCAGAGTCCCTGACCACCTGGAGCCACCCCCAGCTGTATCCAGCCCTAGGGATGATCGCTCTTGTGTGACGTGTGATGCTGCCGGCTCCTAGGGCGGGAAGGTGTCTGACATTGCAGGGTGGGTCTCAGGGAAGGGGCTGCACAGGTATGCACAGGCAGGGGCACAGTGCACAGTGGGACCAGGGACCGCAGACTCAGGATGGGCTTCGTGAGGGAAGATCACCCACAGCAGGGCAGGGTGTCAAGGGATCTTCCGGGGAGGTGGGCGGAGGCCGAGGCGGGTGGGGCGGGCGCACCTGTGGGGTACGGTGCCCTTCTCGGTGATGGTGTCGCACCACATGGTGAAGCCCACGCTCACGATGGTGCTGGCAATGAAGACCAGGAAGACCACGAAGGCGCTGACCAGGAGGTTCAGGAAGGCGGAGAAGAAGGAGCTGCAGCCAGAAACAGGAGGGGCAGGCTCACTGGACACCACCTCCCAGGCGACCCCCGCCCCCAGGCTGCAGCCAGAAACAGGAGGGGCAGGCTCACTGGACGCCATCTCCTGGGCAACCCCCACCAGCAGCACCCCCCGGACCCTCAGGATTCCTGGGTTGGGCCCTGTGGGGCCTCAAGGAGTTGTTCCCCCTGCCTGCGGTCCCTCGGGCAGCTCCGTGTGCCCACCCTGGGCTGCAGGTCACACCTTCCCAAAGACCCAGGACCTGGAACCCTGGTCCCCACCATTTCATAAAAGAGGCTGCACCCAGGGTGGAAGTGAATGACACCCTTCCAAAGCCGTCCAGCCACAGTCACCAGCAACTCTGGCCCAGGTGCTTGTGTCCCCCCAAATCCATATGTTCCAGTCCACTGAGGGGTTAGAAAGTGGGGCCTTTGGGAAGAGAGGAGGTCATGAGGGTGAAGCCTCATGAATGAAATGAGTGCCCTCCTAGGAGAGACCCCACCAAGCGAGCTCCCAGCAGATAACGACACAGCAAGAGGAACGGGCCCTCAGCAGGCATCGAACCTGGATCCCAGCCTGGATCGCAGACCTCTAGCCTCCGGAAGTGTGAGCAGTAAATGCCTGTTGTTTACAAGACCCCAGCCTGTGATGCCGAGAGCTTCCATTCACCCGCAGGTCATCAGCGCGTGGCCTGGACCCCTGGTAGGACTTGCTTGATGGGCCAGCTCTGATTTATCCATTTAAACTTAAAAGGCCAGGCTGTGATTGGGCCCATCTGACCAGGGCCAGAGCATGGGGAGCGCAGGAGGCAGGGCCATGAGGAAGGAGCTCACTTAGGGCTGGGCCACACTGCCCCAGGGGTCTGAGGCCTCTGCCAGGGCGCACACGGCCATGGCTTTCAGAGGATGCTCGTGTTTCCTCTTCTGAGGATACCGGGCAGGTGGTCGGGACACCCACCCCACCCGGCCCTCCTGCCTGGCCTGCAAACGTCCATCATCTCTGAATTGCTCCATCAAGATTCAAAGTCCCTCGAATGGGCCTGGGGTGGGCTCAGCCTGGAATGCACACGGAGGCTCCGGGGGGTAGGGAGAGGGGGTAGGGATAGGGACTGTCCCTCCAGTGGGAGCCCTGAGGGGGACTTCCTCACGGGCGGACACCAGCACTAGCAGCATGGCTGAGAAGGGGCTGCTCCCGCCTCTCACCTGCCAGCAGGCTCGATGTTAGCCTGCATGCTGTCAGCACACTGGATCTAAGGGAGGTGACCCACAGAAACAGCTTCACAGCGATCATTTAATAAACAAGGTCTCCCTGGAATCTCAGCCAAGAAAACATCAACGCTACCGTCATCCGAACTCGGCAGCTGCTGATGAGGCAAAGTGGAGGCCAGCGCATTGTCTGTTCATTCATTCAGCAGGCACTTTCTGAGCACCTGCTCGCCCTGTGCTGGACACAGAGGGCAGAGTGATACAAAAGACGAAGTCCTGGCCCCGGGAGGTGCCCCAGCCAACGTGCTGAGGATAAACCCAGGCCACAGCGCCCAACTCAGAGCAGGCGACACCAGGCTGCTTTGTAACATCTGGTGCCTCCAAGGAGCCCGTCCACTGGCCCCAGTCCCGGACACACTGTTTTGGTGACTGCTGGGCTGACAGCAGAACCACCCCCCAGGAACGGGAGGGTTTGAGCCACCCCAGGGAGTCCCAGACAAGGGGAGAGGACACAGGGACACTCTTAAAGCCATGGGCTGTGATCCAACAACCACACCAACGAGGGCAGGACCAGCAGGACTCACACACGTACGCGTGGGGGGTGACCGAGCCTCTGCCCAGGCCTCATGGCTGAAGATGGCTGGAGAGTGGGTACCGTGTGCCAGTAGACAAGCCACAACCCCCATCACAGCGCCACATCCAAAGCTCTCTGAAGACAGAAAGAGCAGCGGCAAAAGTTCGCCAGGATGGGTGTGGGGCCATTCTCGGTCCCTCTCCAGCCCAGTGTGCTGTGAGTCTCAGAGCTGTCACACATGGGACTGGCTCCATCCGCCCTGCCCAAGCCTGAATCACCATGTGCCAGTGTCTCCCGCCTGCTCTTCAGAGTGCGTCTCCTTCTCCATTCTCTGTCTGGAGGCTGAAAGGTGTGGACCATGGCAATGGCCCCGTGCCCTCTGGCTTCCGGCTGGGTTTGGGCAATGGGGTGGGAGGGCGGGAGAGCAAGGTGGGAATTTGCTACCAGGTCCCTCCACTGAAAGTCACTGCTCCTCTCCAGGTGACCCACCCATCCAGGTCCCGTTAGCCAGGGATGGGGACAGCACCACCTCCACTGACCCCATGAACCCCACCACTTCATCTCTTGTCAACCAGCCCTCCTTCAATGACCTTTCCTTGGGTGAGCCATCTGCTGCTGCTGGGACCCTGAGGACACAGTTCTGAACCCCAAAATCCATCTGGCCTGGGGGTGCAAATGAGGGGCTAGGGGCCTATAGTCACAGAGCGGAACGCAGTAAGCCCGCCCCACCTCTGCAGTCTTGGACCAGCTGCTCCGCCCCAGCCAAGGAGAAGGTGGTGGCGAGGCACGGCCAGGGTCAGCTCCACAGCCAGAGGCAAGGAAGGGGCCACTGCCATGGTCCACACCTTTCAGCCTCCAGAGAGAGAATGGAGAAGGAGACGCACTCTGAAGAGCAGGGTCTTTCAGACCCTGAAAGACCCTGGTGCCTGCAAATACCTGGCCCAGTGCACCTGAGATACGGCAGAGGCTCTGGGCCCAGGCGACCCACTGTCCCCTTCCCACCACTGAGCATGGGCCACAACACAACCTCCAACAGACAGAAAAGCCAATTATCTGGAGACTTCAAACATCCAGCCTCACCCCTATGAAATGGCCCGATTTTGGAGTCTTCTCCCATGACCAGATCGAGGAGTTCCCCATGAGATAGGGAAGGGACCCCAGGCTGGGGCCGCTGCCAGCTGACAGCCTCGGTCTGTTCCTCTCATTCCTTTCTGGTCGGTTTCCAGGGATCCTGCCCAGGCTGTCCAGGTCGTTGAAGAATTGGATGTGTCCAGAGCATCCCCGGATCCAGCTCCCCAGAGGTCACAGGGCCACCCAGCCCCTCCCTCACCAAGGCCAGGCCAGGACAGTGGTCAGGAACAGGAGCCCGGCACATGCAGGGTTAACCCTGTCTCTCTTCACTGCCGCTCAGGGTGCCCTGCCAGGATGTGCCATCTCCATGGTGACCGCTGTCCTGGAAAGCCCAGCAATGTGAAGGCTCAGCGCCGGCACGGGCAGGCAGATGAGTTTAACGCAGCATCCCTCCGGCCCGCCAACCACAAACTGCTGCCAGCCCACGTGCTCAATCCTCCCTCAGCACAGCTGCCCCAGGCCCACGGCTGCCTCAGCAAACCCTTCTGCCCCGAAATGGCAAGCCTCTCTGAAGCACAGGTGCCATTCCATTCATTCATCCATTCATTCATTCATTCATTCATTCATTTACTCATTCATTCATTCATTCATTCATTCACTCATTCACTCAGCAGCCAATAATGGAGCATCAAGATGACACTCCTCTGCAAAAAGCTACCCCCAGACTAATTTTCACACTTCTGGGCACGAGCTCTCAGGGCCCAGACTCTGCATGAAAGACACCCCCATAGGAAGAGGAAGCTGGCACCTGAGACATGGCCTCTGCTCCACAAGCTCTGGACGTGCCATGTGCCCCTCAAACAGACCTCACACAGGCCTTGCCCTCACACTGGCAGGAGGGCAGCCGGGTGGCCCCTGGAGGTGGAGTCCCCTTTAGAGGGTTAGAGCATGTGCTGTCCTAAACAGGCCCAGACCTCTAGCAGCCAGAGTCTGATGGGGTCAGTGGGCTCCTCCCTGGGCTGGACGTCCAGTGGCCGTCGATGGCCCTGAGAGCCCTTGTCCACCACATGAGCTCCCTGTAAAGGCCCGTCTCAGCTCCGTGGCTGGTCCTGAGTCCCCTTTACCTACCTGGCACTTGCTCACCTAGTCTATGCAGCTGGACCAACAATTGAGTTGGAATTGGCTGCTCTGTCGCTGGACCCTGCAGACCCCATCTTCCCAGGGGTCCAGAACTTCCTGACATGGCAAGTCTGAAGGGTGGACCTGTTGGCCAGATAACTGAGTCTGCACAGGTATCGGGGCCAGGTGAGTGACCACAAGGCAGCAGGCCTCAGGACCCAGGCATCTTTCTGTCAGTCATTCAACAAACATTATCTGGGGACTCCTACGCACCATCCCCTGTGCTCAGCCCTAAGGACACAGAGATGAATAAGGTGCATGTCTGCCTTGGCTTCACCCAGCTGTGGGTCCCCTAGGGTGGGGTCCCCTGGGGGGGGACCCATGGCCTGAGATGGCTCTTGAGAGCGTTAACCTTCGCCTACAACCAGAACTCAATGGAGTGCTGACACGTTTGACAGATGTCACCCCACAAGCCGTCTGCCAATGGACTGTGCAGTGCATGAGGTGGGGGACAGGTGGCCACATGACCACGTGAACTGAGCCACTAATTCCTGATGGTCAAGAAGGACACAGGCACCAGATGTCCCTGGAAAAGAGCAGGCTGGGCGGAGGTCAGTGGTGGGAGGATTGGTGAACCCCTGAACTGAAGCAAAGGAGCTGAACCTGAAATGCTCCGCCACAGGCCCCTTCCTGACAGCAGGAGCTGCCCGGACCTGACCTCCAGTGGGGTCAAGGCCATGGTGAGCCTCCACAATGTAGCCCCCCTCGACAACCCTAACCCTCACCCTAACCCCCACAGGCCTGAGCATACCAGGCCGTCTAAGGCTTCCTAAATCCCATATGGGCCGGTCAGCAGGGCTGCAGCAGAGGCCACACAGCTGGCCTGCATCCCAGCCGGCTCCACCCCTTGGGAGGATGGAACACCACAAAGAGTGCTGGGAAGGCCTGCAGACTCCCCAGGAATCTGTTTTCTGCCTTTGGAAGGAGATGGTGCTGGCAGTTTGCCACGGCTGACAGACAGTCACCTTCCGTGAGATGGCAAGAGGCAGAGCTGCTGTTACGGCATCCCTGGGCCTGCCGCCCAGTGTGTGCGAAATAGACCATACCCTGTGCGACCTGGACTCCTGTCTTGCAAGCTCTGGGGCTCTTTTCTCCCCTCTCCCTGTCCCCCAGCTTCTGGTGGAACCCCCTATAAAATCTCCCATCACTCTGACCACATAGCTGGGTCCTATCTAGAGAGCCACCCTCTGTCAGCCCCAGCTGGACCACAGGCACCCTGAGGGACACCCAGGAGGTGAAGAAGTGCGTGAGCGATGAACCAACTGTGGCCCCACCTGGCCTGCACCCTCCACCCTCAGCTTCCCAGACTAAAGGGACCTCAAGCGTTGGGAGGCTGACCCTACTCGCTGGCTGTCCCACTCCCTCTTCACACCTGTCTCATTCAGGGAGGCTTCCACCTGCCTGCCCTGCATGCACAGCATGGACTGGGCAACTCTTGGGTTTGGCAACATGGGTGCAGATGACGTCTCAAGCCTCTTCTTGGGACACCAGCCCTGGAGTGGGCTGAGGGAAGGAGGACGGCTGCAAATGGGCAGGACACCACCCTGCGCCCGGCCTGACCCCACCTTGAGCAGGGCTCCAGCCACACAATTTGGGCCCATGGCCCCACAGTACCTGGGTCCTCCCAGGCTGACAGCCAGCTTTCTACTGACCCCCATCCAGAACCTTAGTGTCGTGGGTTGAATGGTGTCCCCCGAAAGATATGCCCAAGTCCCACCCCTGGTACCCGTGACTGTGACTTTGTTTGGAAATAGCATCTTTGCAGGTGTAATTAAGCTCTGGATCTCAGGATATCTCCCTGAGTTTAGAGTGGGCCCTGAATCCAGTGACTGGTGTCCCTGTAAAAAGAGGGAGGACAGAGCAGAGCAAAGGCGCCCTGTGAGGACAGCGGCAGAGGGTGGTGGGACAAGTGGGTTTCAGTCCAGTTGGTGCAACTGTGCTGCAGCAGCCCCAGGGCGCTCCTACCCACAGGCGCTGGGATTCTCATTCCTCCTCCAGAGTTTGCAGCCCCACTCAGCATAGCCCTGGCTCCCTCCCTTCTCCCTGAAGCCCCTCTTCTTCCCCTCTCTGGCCCCTCTCTCAGCCAAAACCAAGCGGTGGGCTCACAGCGGGGGCAACAGGAGGGCTTCCCCACTCCTGCCGCCCACACCCCTCTGAGCCCTTCTCATCTCCCACCTGCGTGCAGGAAGTGAAAACCTACAACAAAGGATGGGGGTGAGGGCAGAGTTTGGGAGGAGCCTGGGTTTCATGAGTGCTCTCCCGGAACCTCTACAGGATCTCGGGCTGCTCCTGGGCACAGCAGGCCTCAGCCAGGGGAGTGGGAGGGCCCACAGAGGGCACCCACAGAGGGAGTGGGTGGGTTCACAGAGGGAGTGGGTGGGCTCACAGAGGGGGTGGGTGGGCTCACAGAGGGGGTGGGTGGGTTCACAGAGGGGGTGGGTGGATTCACAGAGGTGGTAGATGGGCTCACAGAGGGCACCCACAGAGGGAGAGGGTGGGTTCACAGAGGGAGTGGGTGGGCTCACAGAGGGAGTGGGAGGGTTCACAGAGAGCACCTGCAGAGGGAGTGGGTGGGCCCCCAGAGGGCCCCCAGGGTGCCACTGGCTAAGGGTGTCACCGCACCCCAGGTGAACCAGGTTGTATGGGCTCCAGTATCTAGCCGGAGCAGGAAAGAGAAAGAGGAAAATGCAGGCCAGGAGGAGGAAGGCGCTGAGCCCACAAGGCACAGCCCTCGCCCTGCAGTCTCTCTCCAGCTCCCCATCCAAGGCCTGAGCTCGAGGTGGGCCTGGGTGGCTCCCCTCCAGACAGCCATCTGCCGTCCCTTTCCCGGGGCGATGGTGCCGGGTGGGGCTCCCCAGTTCGCCTTGTCACTGGGACCTGGAGAGCTCAGTGCAAGCCCTAGACCGGGCTGGGAGTTGTCGCCGGTCCTGGCGAGTGTGGCCCGGCTGAGCCCGCCCAGGAAGGTCCAGGCCTGCTGGGTGATGACAGTGCAACATCTGCAACCCAAGGGAGCAGATGCCCGGAAGCGGGAGGTGATGCGCAGCTGGGGAGGGGAGGCACTGGCCTTGTACGCAGGACCGGTGGTCGTCATGGTCCCTGGATGTGTGTGTAGACAAAGGGCGGTCTGAGTGGAGGGGGTGAGGGCGGATTGTTGACATTTGCGGGCCTCGGAGCTGCCTGAGAGACGGAGGGACTCGCGCGCCTCCCCGGGGAGGTGGGTCTGGGGGCGCTGGGGGCATGGAAGGGGCGCCGCGCCGGGAGCGGCCCCCACTTACCCCTCGTGTCCCTTGCAGAGGAAGAAGAGCGTGCGCCAGGCGTGCGCGGCGGCCAGCAGCAGAGACAGGAGGCTGGCGAGCAGGCTGAAGCGGCAGGCGGCCGGCGGGCCCCACTCCTGCACCGTGAAGCGCTCGCGCTCCTGCACCGTGAGGTTGGCGCTCAGCCACATGCCCTCGGTGAAGAGCAGGCAGCGGCCGCGGAAGTCGTGGCCGTTCTCGGACAGCGGGACCACCACCACGAAGCTGAACAGGAAGGCCAAGAAGTAGCAGGCGCACTGAGCGAAAAGGAAATTGTTGAGCGCCATGGCCGGCCCGGGCGAGAGCGGCGGCGGGAAGGCCGCGGGAGGCTGCGCCGGGCGGGGAGGCCGCGGGAGGCTGCGCAGTGGCGGCGCCGGCAGGTCCCGCGCGCCCCTCCCGGGACGCGTGCGCATCGGCCGAGCGCGGGAAGCGCCTGCGGTCAGCACCGCGGACAGCTCCTGGTGCGCGCGGGCCAGGAGCCCGGGGTCCAGGGGCCAGAGAAGGGCGGCCTGCGGGAGATGCGGGAATTTTACCAGGTCGGCCTGGAGGGACCGACCCTGTGCCGCTAAAGACTTCGGGAGCCACCTGTACGGGCCTCACACAGGCCGACTCTGGGTCGTCAGTTCCTCATCAGCTCGAACGAAAGGAGACCAGGAGAGAGAGGGCGGGGCGGGGGGTGTTGGAGGACACCCCCAAGGTGCTCATAGTGAGGTGTAGGAGTGCGGTTTGCAGTCCAGGCTGAAGTGATTCCTTTGCGGGGGTCCCGAAATGCAATGTATGAGGGGAGGGGCCAGATCGTGGAGGAGTCGGGGTCCAAGGGACTGGGACAGAGGTCATCCTCGAAGAGATGGGGAGGGTGAGGCCAGGTGTGGGCAGGAGGGGGTGGACCGGGAGCTTCTGCAGCGCCAGCCCTCCGCGGGGACGTGTGTTACACTGCCTGACATGGGCAGGACCCTGGAGCTGCATTTGTAAGATAAATAATGGGTGTCCCGAGCGCCTCATTAAGACATCTTTGCTGAGATGGAAATCGCTGAGGCATTAATTAATAGAATTAATGCCTTTTCTAGTTGCCTTTAAGACTAAGTCACCTTTAGTCCAATTCCCAGAGTGAGGAAGCCTTAACATTGCTCCTCCTGGTTTAAAATTCCATCAGCATTTTTGTTGCAAGCATTAAAAAATATTTTTGTTTTATTGACTAAGTAATATATGCTCATTTCTTAAGTCAAGTAATAGAGATATGTATACAATAAAATAGAAAGCCTTCTCCTCATCCCCCTCCCCTACCCCATCACACTACCAGGGGTGACCACTTCAATAGCCTGGCATCTATTTTTCTAGACATTTTGCTAAGCACATAAGCACACACACAGAATTAACAAAAATGCTTCATACCATACATAGTTTTCTGAAGGCTGATTCTTTTATTCAACAAAATGTCAAGGAGATTATTCCCTGCCTACACATACACCTATTTTGTTCTTTTTAATAACTGCATAAGACTCCATTATAATGATGATTCCACAATCTGCATAACTATTCCTCTTAAGGTGGATGTTTTGTGTCTCCAGTTTTTGCTGTCTCAAATGCTGTCATGTGAACATTCTTGTACACATATGTTTGCGTTCTTGCACAGGCATTTTTATAAGAGAAATTCTTAGAAGAGGAATTGCTGGGTCATGGGGTATGCACATTTAAAATGTTGACAGAAATTGCCAAACCGGCTTTAAAAATGTTGTTCAGCCGGGCGCGGTGGCTCACGCCTGTAATCTCAGCACTTTGGGAGGGCGAGGCGGGTGGATCACGAGGTCAGGAGATCGAGACCATCCTGGCTAACATGGTGAAACCCCGTCTCTACTAAAAATACAAAAAAATCAGCCGGGTGTGGTGGCGGGTGCCTGTAGTCCCAGCTACTCGGGAGGGCGAGACATGAGAATCGCTTGAACCTGGGAGGCAGAGGTTGCAGTGAGCCGAGATCACGCCACTACACTCCAGCTTGGGCGACAGAGCGAGACTTGGTCTCAAAAAAAATAAAAATAAAAATAAAAAAATTAAAATGTTGTTCAAATTTACCCTCACATCTGGGTTGTAGACCCCTCCCCTCGCTGGCTGAGAAACAGCAGTTGTAGGCAAATCCTGCCAGTTTCCACAGAATGCGCTCATTGCTGTGTGAACTTGGACTTGCTTTGGCATCATGAGGCTGAGCATATCTTCTTACGCTTGCCACCATTTGCAACTTCTTCTCTTCTGTGGATTGCATTTCATTTTGCAGTCACTTTAAAGTCGGGCCTTGAAGGCCAGCCACGAGGTCAGCAACGGCCACTCTTCTCTTGGAGAATCCACTCAGGGTTTTTACCACTCTTGGAGTATCCCCAATTCTCCCCAAAGGGAGCTCACTCAGGAAATTCACCCCCTCCCCTAACTTGGGCAAGAGTGGAAGTTCCATCCACTCATTATCCAGCAGTTGGACCAATTTGAACACATCTGGGGGTGTTACACTTCCAGACTCTGGCCAACATGAAGGAGACCATGACAACTGACAGGGAACCGCCAGCACTGGAAACCGCAGACTAGGCTGGAAAGATGATTAAATATCTGCCATTTTCAAAGGTCAAAGGTGCGAGACTCTGGCATGTCTGTGATTAGTTCCACTTACCTTCAAAAATCAAAGACTTATCTTGTTTGTATTAGTCAGGGTTCTCCAGAGAAACAGAACCAATAAGATGGAGAAAGAGAGAAAGAGAGAGATTTATTTTAAAGAACTGGCTCATGTGATTTTGGAGACTGGTAAGTCTCGAATCTGCAGGGTGGGCCAGCAGGCTGGAGACCCAGGAAAAGTCAATGTTGTGGTTCAATGTCGTGGCTGCAGAACTCCCTCTTACTGGTGGGGGGAGGGGGATTGGGAGGTGGGGTCAGTCTTTGGTTCTATTCAGGCCTTCAACTGGTTGGATGAGGTCACTGCTATAGTTTGAATGTTTGTCTCTTCTGAAATTCATGTAGAAACTTAATCCCCAATGTGACAGTGGGGCCTTTAGTAGGTGATTTGGTCCTGTCCTTATGAATAGATGAATTCTTTTCATGGATTAGTGGTCTCATGGATTAATGGGTTGCCCCAGGACTGGGACTGATGGCTTTATAACAAGAGGAAGAGAGATGAGCCGGCACACTCAGCCTCCCCACCATGGATGCCCTGCACCACCTTGGGACTCTGCAGGGAGTTTCCACCAGCAAGAAGGCCCTCACCAGATGCAGCACCTCAACCTTGGACTTCCCAGCCTCGAGCACCATGAGAAATAAACGTCTTTCCTTTATAGATTACCCAGTCTCTAGTATTCAGTTTTAGCAACAGAAAACCGACTAAGACACTCATCCACATTATGGAGGATCTGCTTTACTCAAAGTTCACCATTTAAATGTTAACCTTGTCCAAAAATACCCCCACAGAAACATCCAGAATAATGTTTGACCACATACCTGGCACCTTGGCCCAGCCAAGTTGACACATAAAATTAACCATCTCTTTATTGAAGAAATTCCAATCTACGGAAAATGTGGAAAACTCCAAAATTCACTTTTAAAAGCCAACATTACATTAATACCAAAATCTTACCAAAATTGCGGGAGAAAGAAAGAAATAGGAAATTACATATACAAATATGGATGCAGAACACTTTCAAATAAAATATTGGCACACTGAACACAACCCAATGTATTAAGAAAGTAAGAAAACATGAATGGGTAGACTTTAGTCTACAAATGAGAGAATAGCTTTGCTTTAGGAAATCTATCAATGATATGCTACATCAACAAATAAAGGAGGCAAACTCACCTTTTCGTATCAAGGAATATCAAAATGCACTTCCTATCATTGAATATCCACTCCTGATAAAAAAAAAAAAAACCTCTATGTAAAATAAAACTACCTAAATGTGGTCAAGACTACCTTAAACCACATTATAAATCCGCACCCGTTCAAATCAGGAACAACACAGGAATGCTCACTGTTGCAACTATTATTGACCATTTTGGGGGCAATTCTACCTAATGAACCAAGACAAGAAGATAAAAGAAGCAGTATAACTATGGAAACAAAGAGGCAAAACTATCTTTATTGGAGGATAATATGATTCTATACCTAGAAATCTCAAGATACTCTATAAAAATATGATAATTTGCAAATTAATTTTGTTCTGGATCTAAAACCTGGCTTAGGTCCAGAAACTGGGCCGGGTGTCATGACGTCTCCTGTCAGGCTGCCCTTGGGATGGTTCCCCTTCATGCCCTATGATGGTGTCAAGTGCACCAGAGTGAGAGATGCCTCTGCCTTTCCTCCAGGGATGCCCAGTCCTGTTGTCCATCTCCTCCACTTTCTGTTGGTCAGGACACGCTGGCTCCTTCTTTGACTTTGCTGCTCGTTAGGACCTGAGCTCACCTTGCTCCCGACGATTAGCTGGCACCACCTGGTCTGTCTTATCTGGGGATCCCACCAGCCGCATTGTTCTCAGGGCACCCAGTCCTGTGACAGCAGCTCCAACCATCATCCCGCTGAGCTTCTCAGTGATTCTGCCCCCTCCCCAGTGCAACTTTCTTGCTCTGGTAAATGGAGACTCTTCTGCAGCCACCCTTTCTCCACCCAGGAATGCAACCTCGGTGGGTGCTGCAGCCTTTGTAGCACGGACACTCGAGCACGCCCCTGTCCCTGAGTCCTTGCCCCCTCTCCCACCATCTGTCCTGGCTGTTCTATTTTACAGGGTTGAGTATCCACTTTCCAAACTTCTTAGAGCCACTTAGACGAGTTTTCTGTCACTGCTGCAACAAAATGCCACAACGGCACAAATGGATTGTCAGACAGTTCTGGGAGGTGAGAACATCCCAGGGTCAGAAGTCTAAAATCAAGGCATCTGCAGGGCTTTGTTCTCTCTGGAGTCTTCAGGGGAGAATCTGTTTCCTCGCCTTTTCAGTTTCTAGAGGGTTCTGCGTTCCTTGGCTACTGGCCTCCTTGCTCCATCTTCAAAGCCAGTAACACCAGTCCAGCCCTTCTCATGCTCCACTCCTCTGGTCTCTGCAGCTAGAAGACTCTCTATGTTGACATTAGACCCATCTGGAAAATCCAGGATGCCCCGCAACCTGAGGTCCTCAACCTTAATCACATGCACGGAGTCTCTTTTTCCATAAAAGGTAACATACTCATGGGTTGCAGGAATTGGGATGTGGACATCTTTGGGGCATTATTCTGTCTGCTCCACCATCCTAGGAACAAGTTAACCCTGCCTCCCAGGGCTCTTGCCTGGTGTTAAACCTTTGTATTCCAGGACACCTCTACCTTTTGGATAAATTCTTTCTTACCCAACATTTATGTTCTACTCCCCTGCCCCAATCCAGCACACTGTGGTCCAGGCGCACACATATCCCTGCCGCCTGTTGGTACGTGGTCTTCAGATCCTGCAGAGCCATCGGGGCACGCTGGCCTCCCTCTCTCAGCAGAACTCATTCTTTGACGTTGGTCACCAGCAGGAGAGATGGAGTAGCCCCTCCTTAGAGGCCATGCATTCTCCTTGCAAAGCAAACCTGTGAATCATCTTCCAACAGGTGTTATGGGTTGACTGTGACCGCAGCAAAGACATGTTGAAGTCCAGACCCTCAGCAGGTTAGAATGTGGTCTTATTTGGAGATGGGGTCTTTACAGAGGTAATCAAGTTAAAAGAAGGTCATTAGGGTGGGCCCTCAGCCAATGTAATTGATGTCCTTGTAAAAAATTTGGTGATAGATATGCATAGAAGTAGAACACCATGAGAAGATGCAGGCAGAGATTGGGATGATGCTTCCAGCTAGGGTTTTAATGTGTCCCCCAAAATTCATATGTTGGAAATTCAATCCCCAGTGTGACAGTGCTGAGAGGTGGGGCCCTCAAGAGGTGACTAGGTCAGGAGGGCTCATGAATGGATTATTGCCATTACTGGGAAAGTGGGTTATTTACCTTGGAAATGGATTCCTTATAAAGAAAGAATTGAACCCCTCTTTCTCTTGCATGTGTGGGCTCTCCTGCCCTTCTGCCTCCACCATGAGATGACATAGCAAGAAGGCCCTCAGCAGATGCTGGCACCTGGATATTGGACTCCCAGCCTCCAGAACTGTGAGAAAATAAATGTTGTTTAAGCTGCCCCATCTATGGTACTTAGACTCAGCCGTCCCAGAAAACTCATACACAAGGAAGTGCCTGTCTCTGACAGGAAGGAGCAAGCCCCTTCTGTAGGCCCAGAGGCTTCCAGAAGGCATGGGAGAGCCCCAACCTCTGAGCATGTCATCACAGGTGGGGTTCCCTAGAAAGCAGGCTCTAAGGTGGAGAAGTACCCAGTGAGGTTTGTTGGAAGGATTCTGTGAGCACAGATGGGGAAGAAAAGAAAAACAGGAGAGGGCAGAGGGGCTCCTGGCCGAGACACAGTCTCAGTGGTGGCTCAGCTGACCCCAGGGTCAAGGGCCTGGGCCTTTGTAAGCACATGTTGATCAGTCACTGGAAGCAGCTGGCCTGGGACAGGGAGTGACCTGGGATGAGGCAGCATCAGAAGAGGCTGGCAGCCAGGAGCCATCGAGGGCAGCTCATATGGCAGTTTGGGGAATAAGTTCTATCCTAAAGGGGCCCACCATGGAGGCCTGAGGCCAGCATGGCAGCCTTGCCAAGGCTGAGGGTCCCATCACCTCAGGAGCTATGTTGCTCTTAGAATTTAAGCCCTGGACTGGACCCCCACCTGTCCCTGCCTCCAACCGTAGGGGATGAGACTCTCTGGACAGGCTGCCAAGCAGGCCCACTGCCCCCACACCCAGCCTTGAGTGGAGATGAGTCAAGCTCGGCTCCCATCATCTTTCTCCAGGAATTTGTAGCACCCAGCAACAGCCATCTGATCCATGGCTCTGTGATTCCTACATTGCCTCTGCCTCTCGTGCTTCTGAGATAAGGCACCAACCAGTGCAGTTCCTCCCCTACCCAATACAGCACCTGGGGCACCACGGTGAGAGGGTCCCTGACACGGCAGGGCTATCACTTCTGCACCAGCCACAGCAACAGGGACCGCAGCCAGTGACTGGCAGTGGTTAGTCTAGCCCCAAATCCCATGTGTGTCTGCCTCCTAGGACCACCCCTAGTTTAGGAGAACTGACGCTGGACCTCGAGGTTTGTAGACAGGAGGACTGAGTGTGCGGGTTCCTCTCAGGAGCAACACCTGTGAGCCACCAAGAGCAGCAGGACTGGGCCAAGGGAGAAATGCTCGGTGACACAGAAGCAATCCCCTGGGAACAGCCCCTTCAGAGCGACCCCACAGAGGAGCAGGAGCTGGACCTTTGTACCTCCACACTGACCCATCACTGGACGCAGGCTGCCTCCAAAATTAAATCCCAAAGCTTTAAAAGGCTGATAATGCCCACTCCTGGCCTGCCAAAGCTGGGGACCCCAGGGAGGAGGGAGCCCCGTGGTCTTCTGGCGGGAACTGGCACAGTCAGTAGAAGCTAAGATCGCCGCACATGCTTTGACCCAGATCCACCACTTCTGAAACACGGGGGCTCAACAGAAAAGCCTCATTTCATAAGGACATGTGTACATGAATGTTTATTACAACGGTTTGTACCAGCCAAAAATGGAAAACAACCAGAATGTTTATAAACCAGGGAGCAATTTAATACATTCTGGCACCTCCTTATAATGGAAAGTTTTGAGCTGTTAAACGGGAGTCGTTTCTGTGAGTATTGGCTTGAAGGATTATCTGTCTAGTGCTATATTTAAAAAAGCAAATTGTCAAGTCATGTGTTTGTATTACCCCATTTTATTTTTTATAGTCTTTAAAAATTTAATACTTTTGCTATTTACAAAATCTCTTTTAAAGCTTAAATAACTTTCAATTCAATGTTTTGGATATTGTGAAAGGTGATCAACCTTTTCCCCTTATATGGGTGGCAATTGTATATTGAACTTCTTTTACTTTTTAAAAATTTTAACTTTAAAATATTTTAAATTCACATATAAGTGGATTTGCTTCTGGAACTGCTCTTCCTTTTGTCTTTGGTGTATTATACAAATAGCACATTTTTTCATATGGACATTGGCGATTTATTTCATCTTTTTTGATATAATTATTTTTATTATTTTACTTTCAGTTCTGGGATACATGTGCAGAATGTGCTGGTTTGTTGCATAGGTATACATGTGCCATGGTAGTTTGCTGCACCTATCAACCTGTCATCTAGGCTTTAAGCCCCTCATGCATTAGGTATTTGTCCTAATGCTCTCCCTCCCCTTACCCCCCACCCCTCAACAGGCCCCAGTGTGTGATGTTCCCCTCCCTGTGTCCATGTGTTCTCACTGTTCAACTCCCACTTATGAGTGAGAACAGCTGGTGTTCGGTTTTGGACATGAACTCATTCTTCTTTATGGCTGCATGGTATTCCATGGTGTATATGTGCCACATTTTCTTAATCCAGTCTATCACTGATGGGCATTTGAGTTGGTTCCAAGTCTTTGCTATTGTAAATAGTGTTGCAATAAACATACGTGTGCATGTGTCTTTATAGTAGAATGATTTACAATCCTTTGGGTATACACCCAGTAATGGGATTGCTGGGTCCAATGGTATTTCTGGTTCTAGATCCCTGAGGAATCACCACACTGTCTTCCCAATGGTTGAACTAATTTACACTCCCACCAACAGTGTAAAAGTGTTCCTATTTCTCCACAGCCTCACCAGCTTGTGACTACCATCTGCACACATGAGTGAGGGGAGAGAGACCCTGTGCTCCAGCCGCTGTCACTGGGGCTAGGGGAGGACACTCCCAGCTCCCTCTGTGGAGGAGATGTCCACCTGGAACTTCAGGGGTGGTATGGCTCCCCCCACTGACCCCCAGGCTGCAGAGCTCCCTCCTATCCTTGTCCTCTGCTGCAGTACCGCCCCTACCTCAGGGATGCTTTGCTTTTCTCCTTCCTGCCAGCTCCCAGTCAGGGCCTGTCTGTCCTGTTGCCTGAGGCCTGGAAGGATCCAGGACAGCTGGCTTTGGCCAGGTGTGGGAAAGAGTCCAGAAATACATAGTACAGGGCCCAGGTGCACCTGGAACTTCTCTAAAGCAGGAGGTTATAAATAGAACACTCCAGAAAGAGTCTCCTCAGCAGGCACTTCCTCACCCCCACCACATCCCATGTGAGGGAAGCTGTGGATTGTGTAGAAGAGCCAGGCCAGCAGGCAGTGCCCTAGGACTCGAGGCAGGGCCCATGGATGGCGCTGCAAGGCCTCTGGTCGAAGGGGAAGAAGGGCATGGCTGGAGGAAGAAGCAAGGCTGAAAAAGATCGGGGCTGGGAAGGGGTCAGTGGAGATTGAGATAGCAAACCACAAAAGATCTAATGTCTTCATGTTTCACCCCATTTTCTTGGCTCCTACTGAGGGCAAACATAAGATCATATAAAGAAGACTGCTCTCCATCTGAAAGATGACTGAGGGGCACTGTTCACCATCTCACTTGCTGCACTCCACCTGAGCATGACACAACGGAGTCCTCCGTGCATGGGAGAGAAATGAGTGGTGCCAACCACTCCAGAAGAACTGCCAAATGAAGGCCCCTGCAGAGGGGTGAATGGATGGAGGGTGGTTGGGTGCATGGGGGATAAGAGGATGAATAAATGAATTCATACATCAGTAGGAGAGTGATAAATGGATGAGAGGGTGGATAGGTGACTGGTTGGATGAATGGATGAATGGATGGGTGGATGGACGAGTGGGTGGGTAGATGGATGCATGGATGGATGTATGGATGAATAAGTGGGTGGGTGGATGGAGGGGTGGATAGATAGATGGGTGGATGGATGGATAGATGGATGGATGCATGCATGGATGGATACATGGATGGATGGATGTTTGGGTGGGTGGATGAATGGATGGATGGATGTTCGGGTGGATGGATGGGTGGTTGGATGTTTGGGTGGATGGAGAGATGGATGGGTGGATGGATGGATGGTTGTGTGGATGAACATTTGGGTGGATAAATGGATGAGTTGATGGGTAGATGGATGTGTAGTTAGATGAATGGATGAATGAGTGAGTGGGTGGATGAAGGGGTGGGTGGATGGACGGATGGATAGATGGATGGATGGATGGATGGATGGATGGTTGGGTGGATGGATGGATGTGTGGGTGGGTAGATGGATGGGTAGGTGGATGAACGGATGAATGAGTGAGTGAGTGGGTGGGTGGATGGATGAATGGATGGGTGGGTGGGTGGATGTTTGAGTGGATGGATGGATGGATGGATGGGAGGGTGGCAGGGAGGAAGGAGGAGGAAGGATAAATAAATGTATTGATTACTCACACATTGATGACTGTGTGAGTGGGTGGGTAGGTGGATTGATCAGTGGAGAGATGAGGGGTGAAGAATGATTAACAAATCCTTACAGCCATATTTTGGAGAATACCAGCAGCCTGATTTTGGCAAGGTGATCACTGATATGGGAAATCAGAATGTTGATGTGCTGATTTACCCTGAGAAGTTACCATTTACAAGACTAGGACACTAACATCCCTACTCAAACTGCATTTGCTGTCAGCAGTGTTATCTGGGAAGGCACCATTAGAAGTCATCTTGGAGAGCATGGAATCAGATGGGGAATAAGATTATTTCATGATAACAAGCTCAAGCTAAGAGGAGCTGCCTTGCATCTCCCAATAACATACACCTGTCCAGGTGACTACAAGCACTTGATGTCTAAAACAGTGGCTCCCTCTCCCTGGACAGTGCTGGGAAGGGCATGGTCAACAGTGTCTCCCTTTTTCTGTGATCCCATGGCTGTCTTTATGATTATCATGCTCCTTTATGATTAACACATTATTTCTCTGAGTTTATTCTGTTGCTTTTCCAGCTTCTTCAGTTTAAAATCTTAACCTATTCATATTCTATTTTAATGAATCAATTTAAGTCTATACATTTTCCTCTTGATAACACTTTGGCCATATCCCATAGGTTTTGACATGAAATGTTCTTATAGCCATTTGGCTACAGATAGTTAACAGTTTCTATTTTTACTTTAACACCTGCTAAAATAATTAGCAGTGTATTTCCAGCTATACTCATTTTGATGGACTTTCTTTTTGCCATTGATTTCTAATTTTATTGCTTTGTGGTTACTGAAGTTAGCCTTAGATGTTAATTTTTAAATTGTCAAAATTCTCTTAGTCATCTAGTACACTTTTTTTAATGTTCTTGCTGTGCTAAAAAAAAGTTTATTATTTGTTGAATATGTATTTCTATGTGTCTATTAGATTAAGCTTTAATTGCTTATATTTATTTATAGTCTATTAAATTCTTCAGTTTCTGGGGTAGGTCTCCCACCATGACTATGGATTCATAATTTTCTTTTTTTACTTAATGTATTTTTTCATTATATATTTCAGTTTATGACTCTTATGGAGTCTTCTTCTTTTCTTTTTTTTTTTTTTATTTGAGACAGAGTCTCACTGTGTCACCCAGGCTAGTATGCAAGTGGCACGATCTTGGCTCACTGCAGCCTCCGCTTCCCAGGTTCAAGCAATTCTCCTGCCTCAGCCTCCCACGTAGCTGGTACTACAGGTGTGTACCACCATGCTGGCTAATTTTTGTATTTTTAGTAGAGACAGTGTTTCACCATGTTGGCCAAGCTGGTCTCGAACTCCTGACCTCAGGGGATCTGCCCGCCTTGCCCTCCCAAAGTGCTGGGATTACAGGCATGAGCCACTGCATCTGGCCTCATGTATTCTTTATGAGTTGTTCCATTTGTCAACATGAAATATCCCCTTTTGTCTCTTTTAAACATTTTGCCTTAAATTTTATCTTCTATTATATAAATATTGCTAGGACTGCTTGCATTTTTTGGCATTTTTGATAGACTTTTTTATGCCTTTAATTTTTAACTTTCTAGGCAACTTTAAGTATGTCTTTTGTAAGCAACATTTCAGCTAGAATTTGTTATTTGTTTCTGTTCAATCTGAGCGTCTCTGTCTTTCAACACGTGTGTTTAGCCCACTGACATTTATTATGATTTCTGATCAAATAAAATCTTACTTTGTATTTCCTGGGGTTTGTTTCCCCCCTTTCTCATCTTATTTTAGAAATTAGGTTTATTTTATTCCATTTTTCCTCACCTGTCTTTGAAATAGTTACATTCTATTTCCAATTCCTTTTGATTACCTATAGATTTAGAAAATACACACTTAAGCATCTGTTTTTCCGACAGTGTCAAGAATTTGTCAGAGTCGAGATACTCTCCGAACAAGATGAGACCCATCACATAATGTCGCTTTTGTCCACTCTCCACATCTCCCTCAAATCCCCCATGTTGATCCCACATGGAATTTTAGTGCTAGATTGTTATCATTTTTAGCAATCAATACCTATTTGAACTTAACAATACGCTAACATTATTGTACTTCTACTTCCTCGCCTGTGAAATGTGACTGGCAGCACCAGGCTCGTGGCATCATGAGGATTCAGTGAGATAATTCCCGTGCAGCACTTAGCACCTGAGCAACAGCAGGAATGAGAACCGTCAGTCAGCATCAGCTCCCGGGCGCCCTTTTCCTCTTGCTACAGCACATCTTCTGGCACTTCTTTCAGAAAGTCGGGGGACTACGGGAGCTAAATGGTTGTTTGTTTGTTTGTTTTTTGAATCAGAGTCTCGCTCTGTCACCCAGGCTGGAGTGCAGTGGTATGAACTTGGCTCACAGCAACTTCCACCTGCTGGGTTCAAGCGATTCTCCTGCCTCAGCCTCCCTAGTAGCTAGGATTACAGGCGTGCAACACCACGCCCATCTGATTTTTGTATTTTTAGTAGAGACAGGGTTTCACCATGTCAGCCAGGCTGGTCTGGAATTGCTGATCTCGAACTCCTGACCTGATCTCGGGTGATCCACCCGCCTCAGCCTCCCCAAGTGCTGGGATTACAGGCTTGGGCCTCCCTGCCCGGCTGGTTTTATTTTCTATCTGCATATAAATAGTGGATTGTCCAAGGATTTCACCTCACAACTGGGGAGATTTTGCAGTCTTAACCTGTTCCCCCAATGCTGCGGATGAGAAGGCAGGTGTCAATCTGATCCTTGTTCCTCTTAGATAATTGGGGTTTCCCCTCCCCCTACCCACCCAGCTTTAGCTTTATCACTGACGATCCACATTGCACTTTGATGTAGCAAGGAATGAATTTGGGGGTTTTGGTTATTTGTGTTTATCCTGCTAGGCACTTGGTGGGCTCTTTCAGTGAGGCCAGCACCTGCCTTTAGCTCTGAAAAGGTAGAGATGAAAACATGCCCTGGCTGTTGTCCCACCCCCAGCACCTCCCCTTTATTCTCTCCCCCTGAAATCCTAGGAGAGGGATGCTATGGCCTCTAGATCGTCCTCCACATCTCAGCTTGCCTATTGTGCTTCCCAACTCCATCCCTTTGTGTCACATTCCAGTAAACTCCCTCAGCATCCTCGCCCAGCTCCCTGCTTCTCCCACAGATGCCCACTCTGCCTCCCATCACTGGAGCCATTCTTGCTTTTGTTCTTGATGACTTTTTTTCATTGCAAGACCTCTCATGGGTTCTCTGCAATACCCACTGGTCTCATTCCTCTCTGAGGACACCAGTTATACTTGCTCTAGGTCCTCTCTGGTGGCTGTATTTGTTCTGCTTCTCTTTCTCCTTGTACATGTTCACACCTGTACAAGTGTACATGGTATGGGCTTTCCTCGGAAGTTGAGCAAGACTTGACTGCGAGGTCACCATTGCGGTGAAGCCTCCGCACAGGTCCTCTGCTGGATTTGTCTGCCACAGCCCTTGCAGGAAAGGCTGAAGCTTCAGCTGAGACGTGAACAGCACTGACATCAGTGAGAGTGCGGGCCGGACCAGGCCTAGCTGGGGTCACTTGGTAGGGGCTGGGCACGGATGCTCCCACTCCTCCCAGGACCACCAGATACCAGACCATGATCCTGTCTCTTTGAACTGAGACCCATAGTCACTGATCCTGCCCAAGGCAGAGCCTTCTTCACTGCAGCTTGACCCAAGGTAGGGGAGGAGGGCAGTGCGTGCTGGTGTGGCCAATCATTGCCCAACTGAGAAAGCTTCACTTAAAGGTACGTAAAGGTACTTCACTTAAAGTAGGAGGCCAAGAAAATGGTCTGCACAGGTACTCAGGGAGATGCAGAAGCTTGGACACAGTCAGAAAAGGCGTAAGTGTTCACCAGGAATGCTAGCTTGGAGAACTTTCGCCCTTAATGTGGCACTCTCTTTTTTTAAAGGAAAAATTCCATACCTCAGGAAAGCAAGATAGGAACCAAACATGAAAAATTGTAAACCCTTACTATCACAGGCCAATTGCAAAGCATCAAATATGTGCACGTTGGCAAAGAAATTGTTCCTGAAAAAAGTGCAAATTGCTACTTCACTGCATGTAAATGAACCACTAATTGCTTCTTGCAAACAATATTTATGCAAATGGCCCCGCACTCTGCAAAGCTGCACAGATTATCCATTTGCATGTACATTCGTCTCTGCCCTTCCTTTCATCTCTCAGCGAGCGGAAGAACTGCAGACACCAGCTAGCTGGCGAGCCCCCACCACACACACACACACACACACACACACACACACACACACACACACACGCTGCCTTTCTCTGTGTTCCTGCAGGTCCCTCTCTGCTACCTCCTTCCCTGCTCTTTCCCCATCATCTCTGCCCCACAGCTCCACAGGAAGAGAGTTAAGTGTCCCCCAGTCCTGCCTTGCATATATAATGGTCCTGTTCTCAAAGCCTCTCTGCCTGCACATGAACGTAAAGGCCTAAGCCCTCCGCCATGCTGCCGGAGCTAACAGCATCAGGCTCCTTCAGCAAAGCCCACAGACAACCTAGGAACTTAGAGAAACCTTTTGCAAGGCACAACACCATTGTTCTAATATGTAAAGACTTTCTAGAAATCAATAAGAGCAGGGCCTACATGTTAATAGAAGAATATAATCAAGTAAGATAAACAGGTGCAGAAAATAAAATCAACTAATTCTTAAACATGTGAAGAGTCTTAAAATCATTCACAATCAATAAATGCACTCTAACACTCTCTAAGAGGACTTCTGAGCAACCAAAGAGAATGGAACCTGCCTAGGTCTGCATCACCCCCAAAATCCTCCAGAATCAGTGCAGGTCAACAGGAAGGTCAAGTGAAACCACACAAAGACAGGAATGCCCCAACTTCAAGTCAACCGCAGGGGAAAAAAGGGAAAAAGAAAAACATCCCAGCAAGCGATTTCTCACATTCTTTGCAGTAGGTAGGAGCAGTCCAAGAATAAGACAGGAAAGAGAGAAGAGGAAAGCTAGAGAGGGGTGTAGGAGTGCTCTAAAACCGGCAGAAATAGCACCGTTCCGCACGTGTGAAAACACGGAACAAGTGCCCTTTAGGTCCGCCTGCTAACTGCAGAGATGGGCCCGAAAAGCACACACAACCTGAAGTGGCACCTGTGAAATGCAGAACTTCAGGAGAAGCAAACGAGGAAAAGAAGGGAGATGTGCTCTTTAGGCATCCAGCAGCCAAGCCAAAAAGGAGGAAAGGGGAGAAGTCCCAGGTCCTGTAGGAAAAGGTGAACCAGAAAATGCAGAGGGCACACATCCCCCACTCCCAGCACACACTCACACACAGATTCATGCGAGAAACTAGACTTCGCCACGCCGACAGAACAGACTGTGCTGAAGCAGGAACCTTGTAAACCACCCAAACTCACAAAATGATCAGAAGAGTATTGTCTATTTAAAGCTACTACAAAAATCAACACACCTCATTTGATAAAAATCCCCACTCCTGGAAAAAAAGAAGTAGGAAAAAAACAGCAAGGCCACACTCTAAAGTGAATGAAATATACTCACAGAAGCACCTGGGGAATAGGAAAACCCACCCTGAGTCAGAAATTCAAACTCTTGGAATATAAGTAGACAAAAGCAGAAAGAAATAAAAAGGGTTGGCTGAAACCAGAAAAGAAAGGAAAGAAACGGACAAAATTGTCTCAGAAATGAAGGCTGAATTATGAGATGCCCAAGAAATAATAGACTTAAATAAAGAAAGGCAATAAAGTAGAAAAGTAACTAAGAGAATGAAAATGAGACCATAAAAGAAATAAAAAGGGCCACAGAGAAGTGGGGAACATGGGAAACAAGCAAAGAAGGAATCATACATGCATAACTGGAGCCCCAGAAGATGCGAAACAAAGCAACGGGACAGGCATCATACGTAAGACCTTAGTCCAAGAAGATGCCTCAAAATTAAAAGACGAGTGTATGTATTGAAAGGCCCACCCCCATAGATGCCGAGATAATTAATCAGACATGACCAACTCTGAGAAAATATCTAATGAAATTATTATGTTTCAAAAACAAATTAAAAATAGCTTACAAGAGCAAAGGAGCCCGCCTGGCATCAGATTTCTCAAAAGTAATAGCAAAGCAGGGCAAAGTGGAGCAACATTTTCCAAACATTGGTGAAAGAAACTCTGCACCAAGGATTTTTTATTATAGAGAAAATATGTTGGTATTTCTGCAAGGTCATGGCTTTCTGAGAAAAAATTACTGGTAACCTGGGTTAACGGATGCCTGGAAGGGAAACCAGCCTAGAAAGACTCAGATAATGAAACACCCAGGGGAAGGCCCAGTGGCTCCCACCTGTAGTCTCAGCACTTTGGGCGGAGGTGGGAGGATCACTTGACCCCAGAAGTTTGAGGCTGCAGTGAGCTATGATGCACCACTGCACTCCAGTCAAGGCAACAGTGTGACATATCAACTCAAAAGAGAGAGAGAGAAAAGAAAGAAAGAGAGAGGGAAGGAAGGAAGGAACGAAGGGAAACAGAGAGGAAGGAGGGAAGGAAGGAAGGGAAACAGAGAGGAAAGAGAGAAGGAAGGAAGGAAAAGAGAGGAAGGAAGGAGGGACGGAAGGAAGGAAGGGAGGGAGGGAGGGAGGGAAGGAGTGAGGGGAGGGGAGAGGAAGGGAAGGGAAGGAGAAAGAGAGCAAGAAAGCAAGAAAGCAAGAGGCCAGGCGCGGTGGCTCACACCTGTAATCCCAGCACTTTGGGAGGCTGGGAGCAGGTGGATCATGAGGTCAAGAGATCTAGACCAGCCAGGGCAACATGGTGAAACCCGATCTCTACTAAAAATAAAAAAATTAGCTGGGTGTGGTGGCAGGCGCCTGTAGTCTCAGCTACTCGGGAGGCTGAAGCAGGAGAATCTCTTGAACCCGGGTGGCTGAGGTTGCAGTGAGCCGAGATCGCACCATTGCACTCTAGCCTGGAGACAGGGTGAGACTCTGTCTCAAAAAAAAAAAAAAGAGAAAGAAAAAAGAAAGGAGAGAGAGAAAGGAAGAGAAAGAAGGGAGGGAGGGAAAGAGAGAGAGGAAGGAAGGGAGGGAGGGAGGGAAAGAGAGAGAGAGGGAGGGAGGGAGGGAGGGAGGGAAAGAGAGAGAGAGGGAGGGACGGGGGAGAAAGAAAGAAAGAAAGAACCCAGGGAAAAGGTTGACAGGTTTATCTCCCTTTTGGTATGTGTTTAGATTTCCAAGCCAGATGAAAATCAGGACCGTTACTTTACATCCCAAAGAACTGTAAATCTGGGACCTTTCCCTTCTCTTCTCAGAGAGGATCTGTTGACATTAGAAAATAAGGTTTATCTTACACTCTCCCATGGGTGTAACAGTTCCTACATCAGCTCTAAGACTCATAATCTTCAGGTTTCCCTCCTGTAGAGCAAAACCCCCTTTTGCACAGGCAGCCTCCTCTCGCTATCACCACATTGTCCCAGGTGGGCAGCAGTCACGAGGAACCAATGCCAATATGTTCTGTAAATAAAAAGTGGGTCTCCCTCTAATCCAGAAATGTTATGCTCACTCGTAGGATTGTCAGTGGTGTTGGAAGCAGAGCGACTCCATCTTGAGTGAGGGCTGGAAAATGATGTGCTCGCCCGTAGGATTGTCAGAGGCGTTCGAACCAGAGCGACTTCATCTTCAGTGAGGGCTGGAAAATGAGACGGGGATTTGCTGAGCTGCATCCTCAGAAAGTGAGGCATTCCAAGCCTCTAGATGTTTACAGTTAAGGGAACAAATGAATAATGTTTACTAAACAGACCCAGACTTGGGAGTGTTCGGCTATCCCAATATCTAGAGAACAACGGCATTCCTAATTTTGCTTTAAAGGTAATAATATCAATCCTTGCAAAATATAGCAATTAAGAAAATTAATTCTTTATCACAAACCCTTGTAGCAGAGCGCATCTCCCCATATATACCAGCATTGTACCTAGGGTGGACGCGTTCCTCCTCTTACTTTCGGGAACGCTCTACTCTGTCTACGAAGTAGCTGTCCTTTTACCACTTTACTTCCTTAATAAGCTCGCTTTTACTTTGCACTGTGGGCTCGCCCTGAATTC